>NW_012132915.1:0-160415 GCF_000001405.40 Homo sapiens | reverse complement strand
TAACAAAATAGTGAGTTGTGGAAGGGGGTATTGAAGATAGGAGGGTGTAGAGGTTTGGCACTATAAGGTGGATGGGAAAGACGATTTGATTAATAAGGCAAAGATCCTGAACCAACCTGTAAGATTTGTCTGGTTCCTGGATGGGTAGGATAGGGGAGTTGTAATGTAGCAGGATGAGCCATGGACAAAACCTCTCAGACACCGAGTTGTAGAAGGAAGGGCTTTATTCAGCTGGGAGCATCGGCAAGCTACTGTCTTAAAATCGGAGCTCCTTGAGTGCACAATTTCTGTCCATTTTAAGGGCTCACAACACTAAAGATTTTACATGAAAGGGTCGTGATTGATTGAGCAATCTAGGGGTTATGTAACAGGGTCTTCATGCACTGGTAGTCAGAGTCAAACAGAACAGAACAGGGAGTTTCACAATGTTCTTCATACAATGCTTGGAATCTATGGATAACATTGGTTGCTAAGTCATGAGATGATTTTTAACTACTAGGTTTAGGCCAGGCAGGCCCAGGCCTGGCGCCGGGCTGCCTGTCTCTGATTTCACTTCCTTGATTTTTACTCTTAAAACAGGTACTGAGTATAAAACAATATAAAACAATATGAGAGGGTCTCTCTCTTCCCTCAGTAAGGAGAATTTGTAGGCTTTAAGAGGCCATGTTGTAACAGGTGGGTGATAACAGGCTCTAGTGGTAACAGTGATTAGGTTTTAACGGGATGGTAAGGGGTGCATGATCAGTTGCCAAGGAAGGAGTAGAGGTATCCCATACTTGTGGATTAAGGCAGGGAGACACAGGGGAGGATGCAAAGGAGGCTTTGAAGTGAGGAAAAGGGTGGCAATGAGGTGTGGCTGTAGCCCAGGAATAGTCAGGGAAGTGGATAGTTTTGTTAAAACGTCTCGACCTAATAAGGAAACTGGGCAGGTAAGGATAACTAAAAAGGAGTGCATAAAAGAATGTTGTCCAAGTTCGCAACAGAGTTGGGGAGTTTTAAGAGATTTAGAAGCCTGGCCGTCAATACCCACAACAGTTATGGCGGCAAGGGAAACAGGTCGTTGAAAAGAAGGTAATGTGGAGTGGGTAGACTCCACATTGATTAAGAAGGGGATGGACTTACTCTCCACTGTAAGAGTTACCCAAAGTGTCTGTGATGGTCCAGGAGGCTTCCAAGGCGATTGGGCAGCATCAGTCTTCAGCAGCTAAGCTGAGAAGATCTGGGAAGGAGTCAGTCAGAGAGCCTTGGGCCAGAGTTCCAGTGGCTCTGGGAGTGGCTGCCAGGAGAGTTGGACAGTCCAATTTCCAGTGGGGTCCTGCACAGATGGGACACGGCTTAGGAGGAATCCCAGGCTGTGGGCATTCCTCGGTCCAGTGGCCAGATTTCCAGCACTTGAAGCAAGATCCCGGGGGAGGAGGTCCTGGAGGAATGCCGGGCTGCTGCGGTTTAGGCATTTTAAAATTTTGTGACCTAGTGTAAGCAAAACACTATCTGAGGCAGGTCTCAATCAATTTACAGGTTATTTTGCCAAATATATGGCTTATGGCCTGTGACACAGCCTTAGGAGGTCCTGCAAACATATGCCTAAGGTGGTTGGATTTTACGTTGGTTTTATACACTTTAGGAGACACAGAAATTACAGGCAAAGACATAAATCAGTACATATAAGATACACATAAGTTTGTCCTGGAAAGGTGGGATAGCTTGAAGCAGGGGTTTCCAGGTCATAGGTGGATTCAAAGCTTTCCTGATTGGCAACTGGTTGAAAGAGTTAAGCTCTGCCTAAAGAGTTGAATTCATCATAAAGAAATGCTTGAGTCTAGAAAATGGGGGGTTCTTGTCATGTAGATGAATCCTATGGGTAGTAAATAAAGTAGATGGTGAATGTTGATTATCAGACCTTAGAAAAAAATGTCAGACTCTTTGGAAAAGACTTAGTAAGGGGAGGAGATTCTCTATAGAATGCAATTTTCCCCCACAACAGGTAGCTTTGCAGGGCCACTTCAGAATATGTCAAAGAAATATTTTTAGGATAAAATATTTTTATTTTCTCCAGGGCCTATTATCTGTCACATTGGAGTATGGTATCTTATTGCTAAAAAGTATCTGTTTCATCAGTCCAGAGATCTCTGTTGTAATGATAATGCTGGTCAGTTGTGTCTGAACTCCAAAGGGAGGAGAGTATAATGAGGCACATCTAAACCTGCCAGTCATGGCCTAATCTAGTTTTCCAAATTTCTTTGAAGTGCTTTCTGTCAAAAGAGGAGTCCATTCAGCAGGTTGGTGACCTACAACTTAATTTTTGGTTTTAACACACAGAAAAACAAAATCACTGCACAAATTCAATCTGAAATAGATTGGTAAAGAAAAATTAAGTGCTTCCTGAATATTCCTACATGTCAAAGAAAAAGAAATTATTAGAATTCAGATGAGAAATACCCCTCATACAAAAGATTAACGATTTTTTTTTTTTTTTTTTTTTTAACTGTCTTAGTTTGGGTCCACCTGCAATAAGGATTCCTGTTTAGGCAGCAAATTTACGCTGGGAGAAAAGGAGGAAAGTGAGGAAGGGAACAGAAGATGAATTGTAAAAGACGCATCAACAACCCACCTGACTCAGGAGAACTGAAGATCAACCACCTGTGGAAACATGGACTAAATTCCTCCGGGCTGTTCCACCTGAGAGATGAGGAAGCTGAAGTATGTATACACCTCATCCTGTCCTCACTGATTGTGAGCTGTCTCTCTTGTTCTATTTCAAGCTGCTGTAACAGATTCCTTTTCACTGAGTAATTCATAAAGAACACAAATTTATTTTCTTACACTTCTGGAGAATGGGAAATTTAAGTTCAAGGCATGGGCAGGTTAAGGTCTGCTTTCTTTGCTTTCAAGATGATGCCTGGAGTTTGGGGTCCTTCAAAGGAAGGAAGGCCATGTCTTAACATGACAGACAAGCAGAAGAGAGAGAGATCCCAGCCCCACAATTGCTGTTTATACTGGCATTAATGTATTCCACTAGAGGGCACCACACTCATGATCTAAACACATCCCAATAGGCCCCAATTGGCAATACCATTACACTGAGAATTAACTTTACAACAGATGGATTCTGGAGGACACAGTGAAACCATAGCACTTTCCTAAGAGATACACATTCCAGGTCATTTGGTCAGCAATGCATGCAGGCAGAGTTCTCTGCCCAAGACTGTAAAGAACATAAGACATGTATATTGCCATTGGAAGTGAGCAGAGGTACAGCAAAGAGAAAGCCCTAGAATACAGATAGAGACTCCTATATTCATCCTGGTACAGTTAACCCTTGAATAAATTGGGTTTGAAATTTGCAGATCCACTTGTATTTTCTTCTGTGTGTGTCACCTGTAAGCAAGTACTTAATAAGTAGTAAATATATTTTCTCATTTTTATAATTTACTTAATTACATTTTTTTCTTTAGCATAGTTTATTGGAATAATAGAGTATATGATATAAATAACTTAAAAAAGTGTTAATCAACTATTTATTTTATCATTAAGGCTAGCAGTCAAAAGTAAGCTATTAGTACTTAAGTTAGAAATGCAAAAGTTCTACACAGGTTTTCATCTGCACCTGTGGTCAGTGCCCCAACCTCCACATTGTTCAGGGGTCAACTGCTCTTTCAGTCTGTAGCTGCATCTCTCTGGAACAGGATCTTGGTAGGTGAGTTGTAAGTAAAGGAATCCAGAAAATAACATCTCAAACTATGCTGCATTCGTATGAGGATTACATAAAACCAAAGGCATTTAGAAAGCAGCAAATGCACAAAAAGCCTTCTCCTAAACATCGCTTATCTGCCAAAAAGCAGATTCTCCAGAAGGAAACCAATTGTCAAAAAACTTCTTCCTGAGAATTTTTATATCAGGGAAGATTAACACAAAACAGGAATCAAAAATAGAAGAGACTGGGAACTGATGCTTTATCCAGACAGGCTATTACCTGTTCTTTTGAAGATGCACTTCTGTTCTCATCTATTCTCTCCAGATTGCCTACACTTCCGAATTCCGTCTTCGCTGGAAAGGAAATATGAACTACTGGATCTTATTGAGTTATTTGGGTAATCACCCTGCTATGATATCCTGCTGCACTTTAAATGAATTTTGTTTGCCTTTTCTCTTATTAATCTTCCTTTTGTCAGTTTATTTTCAGCAAACATTTAGAGGACAAATGGAGTTTTCTTCCTTTCTCCCAATATAAGCAAGTTCCCTTAAAATTCAGGCGGCTTACAAAGCAGCAAGAAGGTTTGTGCACGGGCTATGGCACTGTGATTTGGCTCCCCTACTCAGGCATCAGTAAAATTTTGTGGAGCCCTAGGCTGCAGCCCACTGATGCTAATATAGTTGGATCCACTTCCCCTGCTACTGAGCTAGGCTGGGACAGTTTTGGGCACATTAGATATGTGCGATATAATGATTGCAAATCATTTCCAGTTTTGTCTGGATCAAACTGCTTTCTCCATGTACATAGGCATCATCTCTGTGGATCTGTAGTAAATTGCTTGATCTTATAGTGGTAAGAACAATGGCATAACACCATTACCGAATACTGACATGTATATATAGCATCATGTCAATAAATTTTATTTTTGATTTTTTTTAGAAAGGAACAATGTTAAAATCACAGAAATGTTCCAAGTATAGGGCAAAGTAACCCCTTCCCTAACCGGGATCATATGAGAGTCTTTTGGAGACCTGATAATCATACCGTCTAACATTTTATTATATATTTCCTACAAACAAGAATATTCTCCTAAATAATCCCCATACACCAATGAAATACATTACTCCATCAACTCCTGAGGAATATTTCAAATTGTCAAAAAAAACCTAAAAAATGTCTCTCATAATAAAATAGTTCCCAGTAGAAACACATTCTCTGGAGACAAATTTGTGCTACCCTGGTCTTACCTGGGACACCTGGGGACACTGAACTGGTGCTGAGTTACTGAGATGAGCCAGCCCTGCAGCTGTGCCCAGCCTGCCCATCCTCTGCTCATTTGCATATTCCCAGAACACAACCTCCTGCCCTGAAGACTTCTTAATAGGCTGGTCACACTTCTTGCAGGAGTCAGACCCACTCAGGACACAGCATGGACATGAGGGTCCCCGCTCAGCTCCTGGGGCTTCTGCTGCTCTGGCTCCCAGGTAAGGAAGGAGAACACTAGCAGTTTACTCAGCCCAGGGGGCTCAGTACAGCCTGGCTATTCAGGGAAATTCTCTTACTACATGATTAATTGTGTGGACCATTTGTGTTTATGCTTCCAATCTCAGGTGCCAGATGTGCCATCCAGTTGACCCAGTCTCCATCCTCCCTGTCTGCATCTGTAGGAGACAGAGTCACCATCACTTGCCGGGCAAGTCAGGGCATTAGCAGTGCTTTAGCCTGATATCAGCAGAAACCAGGGAAAGCTCCTAAGCTCCTGATCTATGATGCCTCCAGTTTGGAAAGTGGGGTCCCATCAAGGTTCAGCGGCAGTGGATCTGGGACAGATTTCACTCTCACCATCAGCAGCCTGCAGCCTGAAGATTTTGCAACTTATTACTGTCAACAGTTTAATAATTACCCTCACATAGTGTTACAAACCCGAACATAAACCCCCAGGGAAGCAGATGTGTGAGACTGGGCCGCCCCAGCTGCTTCTCCTGATGCCTCCATTGGCTGAGAGTGTTCCTCAGATGCAGCCACACTCTGATGGTGTTGGTAGAGGAGGATATGAGATCACCTCTGCATCCCAATTTCTTTTTCTTTTCTCAGCCCCAGCTGCACAGACATTACAATGCCTCTGCTGATTTAATAAAGATAGAGATCATGACACCTGAAGAGTCTAGTTTATGGCTTTGGTTAGAATTCATATAACAGAGAAGAAGCCATTATAGATATTCTAAGCAGGAATAGTCTTAATAGATAGAATTAGAGTCTAAAGTATTGAAGTCTAAATAAAATGTACAGATAAATTTAATGTTTTATTTGCTAAGAAATTTTTGCCAAATGGGGCATACAGGAAAACTCAATGGTCTTCAATATGTTGGAAGAGCAAAGAGTTTTATTAAAAGGGAAATTATTACCTATTGTTCTTTGAGAAATTTTGTTGGCTGTAGTAAGGGTTGGGAGCTGGCAAGCTCAGACTGGTAAGCAGTGGTGGTCAAACTGAATCCTAGAATTATATTAAGTTATCTCAGAAGTTGTGGGTAAATTTGCTTTCAGGTTACAATAAGCCAAAGCAGTGAAGCTTGCAGAGAATTTTGTTACTGAAATGCCAGGGATTCAGTATAGATCCTGCGGCTCACCACACAGAAAGCCAATCACTAAGACAACAAGTGTTGTCAAAGAACAGGCTTTAATCAGGTGCTGCAGCCGAGGAGACGGGACACCATTCTCAAATGTATCTCCCTGACAAAATAAATTAGGCGTTTATATAGCAGGGAAGAAATGTGGAAAACAGGAATTAGAGAGGGGTAAGGAAGATAATTTAGTCAACAGGAAGCTGGAGGTCAGTTAGGCAATCATAATGGGTGAAGGGTCTGATGTCTCACTGTCCCCATTCAGTGATATATAACTTTCAGCTCCTTGATAGTATCTAGAGGCCTGATGGTTGGTTTCCTGAAAAAAGAACTCAGATTAACAAATGTAACTACCTTGAGTTTTAAGACTGGGGGAGTCAGTTTCTATGTTTATTCAAAAAATCATAAACATTAGTTCCATGGGATAATAGGGTCTATTTCAATTGCATTCTTCAGACAATATTTTGCACCCTGAGTGGTTTTCCCTCCTGGTTTCTTGGCTCTGTTGGGTATGTCAAGAATGACCGAATTCCTATGATTAACTTTTACACTACAACCTTTCAAAGCCAAGGATATAGTAGTCAGGCAGGTTGACAGTAGAAGCAGGATTCTCTGGTACTCCCTCAGAAAATAGAATGCATCTGCCACTGAAGTATGGGCTATCTAACCATGTGGTCCTCAGTCCTGTCTGAAAGCTTAAGGGTGGGGTTGCAGCTGCTCTCAGCTTCCTATAGCATCTTTCAGGTTTTTCCCAGGCACATGTGTTGACAAGGAAGAAAACGGTGGGAATCACCATGTTTGGGTGAATCCAGTTTCTAATGGCTATGATTTGCATAGGAAAGCTTCCCAGCCTGGCTCTAAGAGCCAGGGCTTTCTGGCTAGACAAGAAGTGTTTCTAGAGCTGCTTTAAAGGAAACAAAACCTTCCCAAGGACCCCTTTTCCTATCTGCCTAAAATAATTTCTTAAAAACTCCTATAACACTTGGGTTCCAGAGATGAGGACATGGACATCCTTTGGGGTGGGACATTATTCATTCCACCGACCATAAACATATTCCCCAAAATTGTCCTTCTCTAAAGTAAAATTTAAAAAATCACGAAGTATTTTTATGAATCAAGGGAGGTGGACAAAATCTTAGACTCAGGTTCCTCTAACTTGTGAGTTTTATCTGTTGGGGTATGCTCACTCCACTGTCTCTAATGTAGATTTATTGATGTGTAGATAGTTTTAGAGGATTTTTAAATTTTGTGACCCAGTATAAACAAAACAGTATCTGAGACAGGTCTCAATCAATTTACAGGGTTATTCTGCCAAAGATAAGGCTTATGGCCTGTGACACAGCCTTAGAAGGTCCTGTAAACATGTGCCCAAGGCGGTTGGATTACACATTGGTTTTAAGCACTTTAGGGAAACACAGAAATACAGGGAAAGACATAAATCAATACATATAAGATATACATTAGTTTGTCCTGGAAAGGTGGGATAGCTTGAAGCAGGGGCTTCCAGGTCATAGGTGAATTCAAAGCTTTCCTTACTGGCTACTGGTTGAAAGAGTTAAGGTCTGTCTAAAGAGTTGAATTCATCATAAAGAAATGCTTGAGTGTAGAAAAGGGGATGTGGAAGCCAAGGTTCTTGTCATGTAGATGAATCCTATCAGTAGCAGATAAAGTACAAGGTGAATGTTGCTTATCAGAGCTTTAAAAAATGTCAGACTTTAAAAAAGACTTAGTAAGGGGAGGAGATTCTCTATAGAATGCAAATTTCCCCCACAACTGGCAGCTTTGCAGAACCACTTCAGAATATGATGAAGAAATATTTTTAAGGTAAAATATTTAGATTTTCTTCAGGGCCTATTATCTGTCATGTTGGAATATGGTATCTTAATGCTACAAAGCGTCTGTTTTGTCAGCCCAAAGATCTCTGTTGTAATGACAATGTTGGTCAGTTGTGTCTGAACTCCAAAGTATAATGAGGCACATCTAAACCCACCTGCCAGTCATGGCCTAACCTAGTTTTTCAAATTTCTTTGAAGTGCTCTTTACAAAAGAGGAGTCCATTCAGCAGGTTGGTGGCTTACAACTTAATTTTTGGTTTTAACACACAGAAAAACAAAATCAGTTCACAAATTGAATGTAAAACAGATTGGTAAAAAAAAAAAAAAAAATTAAGTGCCTCCTGAATATTCCTACATGTCAAAGAAAAAGAAATTATCAGAATTCAGATGAGAAATACCCCTCTTACAAAAGATTAACAATTTTTTTTTTTAACTATCTTAGTTTGGGTCCACCCTCAATGAGGATCCCTGTTTAGGCAGCAAATTTACACTGGGAGGAAAGGAGGAAAGTGAGGAAGAGAACAGAAGATGAATGGAAAAAGACACATCAACAACCTACCTGACTCAGGATAACCAAAGATCAACCACAT
Organism: Homo sapiens; assembly: GCF_000001405.40. Classification (NCBI taxonomy): domain Eukaryota; kingdom Metazoa; phylum Chordata; class Mammalia; order Primates; family Hominidae; genus Homo; species Homo sapiens. The sequence goes on along the minus strand of NW_012132915.1, from coordinate 151,675 downwards.
GTGGAAACATGGACTAAGTTCCTCTGGGCTATTCCACCTGAGAGATGAGGAAGCTGGGGTATGTATACACCTCATCGTGTCCTCACTGATTGTGCGCTGTCTCTCTTGTTCTATTTCAAGCTGCTATAACAGATTCATTGTCACTATGTAATTCATAAGGAACAGAAATTTATTTTCTTACAGTTCTGGAGAATGGGAAATTAAAGATCAAGACATGGGCAGGTTAAGGTCTGCTTTCTCCACTTTCAAGATGATGCCTGGAGTTAGAAATGCAAAAGTTCTACACAGGTTTTCATCTGCACCCATGGTCAGTGCCCAAACCTCCATGTTGTTCAAGGGTCAACTGCTCATTCAATCTGTAGCTGCATCTCTCTGGAACAGGATCTTGGCAGGTGGGTTGCAAGTAAAGGAATCCAGAAAATAACATCTCAAACTACGCTGCACTGGTATGATGATTATGTAAAACCAAAGACATTTAGAAAGCACCAAATGCACAAAAAGACTTTTCCTAAATGTCCCTTATCTGCATAATAGCAGATTCTCCAGAAGGAAACCAATTGTCAAAAAAATTCTTCCTGAGAATTTTTACATCAGGGAATATTAACACAAAAGAGGAATCTAAAATACAAGAGACTGAAGTTGATGCTTTATCCAGACAGGCTATGACCTGTTCTTTTGAGGATGCACTTCTGTTCTCATCTATTCTTTCCAGGTTGCCTACACTTCTCAATTCCCTCTTCCTTAGAAAAGAAATATAAACAACTGTATCCCATTGAGTTATCTGGGTAATCACCCTGCTATGATATTCTGCTGCACTTCAAATGAATTTTGTTTGTCTTTTCTCTTATTAATCTTTCTTTTGTCCATTCATTTTCAGCAAATATTTAGAGGACAAATGGAGCTTTCTTCCTTTCTCCCAATATAAGCAAGTTCCCTTAAAATTCAGGCAGCTTAAAAAACAGCAGGAAGGTTTGTGCACAGCCTGCAGCACTGTGATTTGGCTCCCCTAGTCAGGCATCAGTAAAATTTTGTGGAGTCCTAGGTGGCAGCCCACTGATGCTGATGTAGTTGGATCCACTTTCCCTGCTACTGAGTCAGGCTGGGACATTTTTGGGCACATTAGAGATATGAGATATAACGAGTGCAAATCCCTGTCCAGTTTCATCTGGATCCAAGTGATTTCTCCATGTACATAGGCAACTGCTTGATAAGAGATTCAGTGTCTCTTTCCTAAAGCAGTTAACAGGGAGGCTGTTGCCTGGGTCAGGATGATTTCCCCAATCACTGATAAAAAGTAAAAGAGGAAAGTGTCATTGATGGTGCATGGCAGGGACATGCTCCATGCAGTGGTCACCCTCAGTAAGAGAGATGAACTTTGGGAAATAATACTGAATGGCAGAAAAGAAGGTAGACTATGAAGGTGCCCAAAACAAGAATAAGGTGCAACCCATTTAGTGTCTGAGTACTATAGAGACCTGTCGCTCTTGATAATTGTGGATCTGTGACTGCTGCATGCATCGAGAAAACACGGTATCATCTTTGTGTATCTATAGTACATAGTTTGATCTCATACTGGTAAGAACAATGGCATAACACCATTACCTGATACTTACAAATGTATGTACCATCATGTCAATAAATTTTATTTTTAATTTTTTTACATAGGAACAATGTTAAACTCACAGAAATGTTGCATGTATACGACAAATACCCCCTTCCCTAGCCGGAATCATATAAGAGTCTTTTGAAGACTTGAGAATTGTACCGTCTAACATTTTACTATGTGTTTCCTACAAACAACAATATTCTCCTAAATAATCCCCATACACCAATGAAATACATTAGTCCATCAACTCCTGAGGAATATTTCAAATCGTCAAAAAGAAACCAAAAAATGTTACTCACAACAAAATAGTTCCCAGTAGAAACACATTCTCTGCAGACAAATTTGTGCTACCCTGGTCTTACCTGGGACACCTGGGGACACTGAGCTGGTGCTGAGTTACTGAGATGAGCCAGCCCTGCAGCTGCGCCCAGCCTGCCCCATCCCCTGCTCATTTGCATGTTCCCAGAGCACAGTCTCCTGACCTGAAGACTTATTAACAGGCTGATCACACCCTGTGCAGGAGTCAGACCCAGTCAGGACACAGCATGGACATGAGGGTCCCCGCTCAGCTCCTGGGGCTCCTGCTGCTCTGGTTCCCAGGTAAGAAAGGAGAACACTAGGATTATACTCGGTCAGTGTGCTGAGTACTGCTTTACTATTCAGGGAACTTCTCTTACAGCATGATTAATTGTGTGGACATTTGTTTTTATGTTTCCAATCTCAGGTTCCAGATGCGACATCCAGATGACCCAGTCTCCATCTTCCGTGTCTGCATCTGTAGGAGACAGAGTCACCATCACTTGTCGGGCGAGTCAGGGTATTAGCAGCTGGTTAGCCTGGTATCAGCAGAAACCAGGGAAAGCCCCTAAGCTCCTGATCTATGCTGCATCCAGTTTGCAAAGTGGGGTCCCATCAAGGTTCAGCGGCAGTGGATCTGGGACAGATTTCACTCTCACCATCAGCAGCCTGCAGCCTGAAGATTTTGCAACTTACTATTGTCAACAGGCTAACAGTTTCCCTCCCACAGTGTTACCAACCCGAACATAAACCCCCAGGGAAGCAGATGTGTGAAGCTGGGCTGCCCCAGCTGCTCCTCCTGATGCCTCCATTGGCTGAGAGTGTTGCTCAGATGCAGCCACACTCTGATGGTGTTGGTAGAGGGGTACGTGAAATCGCCTCTGCACCCTAATTCTTTTCTCTTTCTCAGCCCCAACTGCACAGACATAGCAATGCATCTCCTGATTTGATAAATACAGAGATCATGACACTTGAGGAGTCTAGTTTATGGCTTCAGCTTGAATTCATATAACACAGAAGAAGCCACTATAGATATTCTAAGCAGGAATTGTCTTAATACAGAGAATTAAAGTAAACTACTAAAGTCAAAATAAAATGTAGAGATGAATCTCTAAATTTAAGTTTTATTTGCAAAGAAATATTTGCCAGGTGGGGCATACAGGAAAACTCAGTGGTCTTCAAGATATTGGAAGAACGAAGAGAAAATTAGCATTTTATGAAAAAGGGAAAATGTTACCTGTGGCTCTTTGAGAAAGTTCATTGGCACTAGGAAGGGTTGGGAGCTGGCAAGCTCAGACTGGTAAGCAGTGGTGGACAAAATGAATCCTAGAATTATATCAAGTTATCTCAGAAGTTGTGGACAAATTTGATTTCAGGTTACAATAAGCCAAAGCAGTGAAGGTTGCAGAGAATTTTGTTACTGAAATGCCAGGGATTCAGTGAAGACTCTGCAGCTTACCCCACAGAAAGCCAATCACTAAGACAACAAGCATTGCCAAGGAACAGGCTTTAATCAGGTGCTGCAGCCTAGGAGATGTGATACCATTCTCAAATGTATCTCCCTGACCAACTGAAATTAGGAGTTTATATAGCAGGGAAGAAATGTGGGAAAACAGGAATTAGGGAGGGGTAAGGAAGATAATTTGGTCAACAGGAAGCAGGAGGTCAGTGAGGCAATCATAATGGGTGAAGGTTCTGATGTCTCACTGTCCCGATTCAGTGATATGTAAGTTTCAGCTCCTTGATAGTATCTGGGAGGCCTGTTCATTGGTTTACTGAAAAAACAAACAAACAAAAAAAAACTCAGATAAGACAGATGTAACTATCTTGAGTTTTAAGACTGGGGGAGTCAATTTCTATGTTTATACAAAAAAACATAAACATTAGTTCCATGGGATAATAGGGCCTATTTCAATTGCATTCTAGAAACAATATTTTGCACCCTGAGTGCCTTTCCCCACTGGTTTCTTTGCTCTGTTGGGTATGACAAGAATGACCAAATTCCTAAGATTAAGTTTCCCACTACAACCTTTCAAAGCCAAGGATATAGTAGTCATGAAAGCTGATATTAGAAGCAGGAATCTCTGATCCTCCCTCAGGCAACAGAATGCATCTTCCTCTGAAGTATGGGCTTTCTAACCATATGGTCCTCAGTCCTGTCTGGAAGCTTAGGGGTGGGGGTGCTGATGCTCTCAGCTTCCTACAGCATCTTTTCAGGTGTTTCTCTAGTCCTCATGTCTGTCCCTGTGTCTGTCTTAGGTACCAATGGAGAATATTGAGTCATCCTTTTCGGACTTCCAAATCTCATGGGAGGACTTCTTATTGGGCAACTCTATAAGAAACAAGAGAGACAAAATGAGAATTTATGTAAGTTAAAATGATTTTCCCCCATGAGGCCATTTAAATAAATTATATTTAAAGCCACATGTTGAAAACGCATCCAGCTTTATTTTCTTATTAATGCAAATTTACATTTGCAAATATTTTCAATATTGTAAAGGTTGAAAACATAATTATTTGTCCATGGAATGATCAAACACCTCTATAATTAAATGGAGTAAACATTTTCTTAAAAATTTGTACTCACTGAAATAAAGCAATATATTTGAAATGTGTGAAGCTATGTTAGAAATTATTGGACTTAAACTCAACTGTGCAGTTTGGTTTGGGATGCTGTTCACTCTTGTGACCTGCCAGAAGAATCTTGAGTCATGGGTAGTCACTGCTGTTCAGCCTTGTCCTCAGACAGTTGATATGTGTAGGCTGAAGACAAGCTCAGTGCCATGCAGAGAAACCACTCACCTGAACCCTTCCTTGATCAGCCAGATTACTGTGAACGTGAGCATCTATGAACATGAAAACAAATGTTTACTATTTTCTGTCACTGAGTTGTGTATTTAGCCAGTTACCAATCATTAATGCATAAAAGCTTCCTGATACAGTATTTACACCTCTACCTATATATACACACATGTATTTTTTCTTAAATTAGTGGCATAAATGTAAATATTTAGTAATCAAATTATAAACTTAGAAAATTAATGACAAAATTAAAACTAATATTTCAATAAAAAATTAAAATTTACCATATTTATGGGAAAATGTGCATACATGTATGTAAGATACATACAAGTCAATATATTATTTGATAAAATGTTGGCTATATATATAGTACTCATACTTAAGTGTGTTAATTCTATTATATATGCAATATATGCCTATTTGTAAAATTATTATCTAAATTGAATACATTTAAATAATTTTTGTTACATTCCATAAAAAATTGTATTCTGGACCACACATAGTTCATACTCTTGCTATGGAAAATTTATTTGTAGCCTTTATTTTTAAAACTCTACCAAATGATTGTCCTTGTCCGAAAATATTTTCCAACCCAGTAGAGCTCCAAGGGTAGGACTAGAAGAAATTTTGACTAATGTTGAATATTAATCATTGCATCCTATGAAAGTCTCCATTATGTTCATGCCCACAATGATGATATGCCAAATAGAGTTCTCACAACAATGGATGCTGGATGGAGTCACATCAGTGCCATTGTCAAGGAAGCCCTGGAAATGTAAAAATCAAAACAGTGGGTAAACTGCAAGGCCTATGTCTGATGATCACATTGCAAAGAGAATAACATTTTAATAATATTGGCTGTTGGTTTTGACAGATCATCAGGCCTTAAAAGAAATGCAACAGGATGATTACAGACAAAGTCATTGTGGAAGAGCTATGACTAGATGTTTTTAAAATGAGCCATAATCCAAAAAAAAAAATGCTTTCCAAGTGGATGCTAATCGAAATGCCATTAATGAGCAGGGGCTTTTAATAATGAGAATGATTCAACACATGGACTTCAGTCAGTCATCTTTCCCAGCTTTCCCTGGGAGTCTCATGAACCAATGTTATGGAGGTCTCTGTGGGGACTCAATAATTTGAGTTTCCCCCAACCGAGATTTAGAGTGCTACTGGCTCTTCTGAACACCTAATTTGCCAAGAAGAATGACCCCTCCTGAACCCTTCACATTGTATCACACATCAGGGCTCAGACTAACATCTGATGTCAGGTGATTCTACTGTCACTGGGTGCACCAGACTCAGATTTTGGACACAAAATTTCCTGAAGCAGCCAACAGTTGTGCCTCTTTTGAATGGCAGCTCCTTGCTTGCTGTAGGAAACTGATAGGGGCTGAGTATCTCAGAGCTAGAGCACCAGGCAGGATGCTGCGACCTTAACTAACCATTCTCACTTTGGTACCTACAAACACAATCAATAAAACTGGACAGGCCCAACAGATCCAAATCATTAAGTGGAAATGATACAGTCAGAATCAGCCCTAACCAGGATCCCACAGGACCCATGTGCCCCATGAATAAATGGCAAGCTTGCTAGAAGGGAACAAATGGCCCATAGGGGACAATTTAGCTTCTCCTTTGGCCACATAGAGCCAAAGATTCAGAGACATGCCTGTGTCAGTATGGCATGGGGCCCTGATGATTGTACAAAACACATGCCAGTGGATCCACTGGGTGCAGCCACCATCCAGCCAGGGGATGGCATCTTTTGACTGACACTGAACATGGTCATTCTGCCCAATGGGACAAACTACATGAAATGATAGTAGCCATGCAGGCTGCCCCCAACACTATATTTTGCTCCATTTCCACTAAATCATGGGCCATTGCCAACAGCCCAGCTGTCTGGTCAGGAAAATAGCAACTGAGTGACTGAACTATTAAAGGATCTCATGAGTGGAGAAAAGGACTATGGCAATAGCTTGCTTCCTGGACAGCTAAATATATGTCACTCTATTAGATGCTGGGGCTACCATGGCCACCCTTGAGAGGAATTTATGTCATGTTTTTGGATATTCCATGAGACTTCACTCTGACCAAGAAACAGCCTCACTGCCCAATCAACATAACAATGGGCACACTCTCATGGAAACAAATGGACTTTCCATGCAATTACCAACACCCAACACTGGCTGCTGTACCTGGATAAACACCTCAGATATCCTAGAAATACAAGTAGGGGTGATCATAAAGCAGGCTCACTGGCTGCAGACAATAGGACATCAAAAGATCCCCCTTTCACCTCTTAACATCTTAGTCACTGCTTGGGGAGTTTTATCCTCCTACCAGTGGTACTAGCTTTTCATGGCCCAGTGAAATGTACTCTCACTATGGCTTCATAATCTGCATTGAGATTGTGTAAGTCAAGGTGCTTCATCAATCTGAAAAGATAAACCTCTGCCTCCAGTTCAGGGGAAGTTGGTGGGCATATGAAGTATGCTAGCTTTGCTAAGGGGGATGAGATAACTGCAAGACCGTTCTGCAATGACCCTGGACTGACTTAGTTCTCTCCACTTTCTTGCTTATTTTAAGAGTTCTCAAGTACAATTGCAGAACGTGCTGGAATTGTAACATCCTGAGATAGACAGGAACTGAGCAGAACAACCTACCTGTCCTCTATACCAGTTTCCCATAGAATAGAATGTCCATTAGCACTTCAGCCCTGTGTGTCTTTTTACCCCAGGATACAAAACCCAGAGTGGCTGCTTTCCTGAGTTCCTGCACTGTGGTGTATGTGGGGTACACATAGTCAACTCCATCAGCTCCACATAGCTTTCCTGTGCCTTGGGGGACTGACCCATAATGAGTCCAAGAATTTTGTGTTCCCTTGCTGCTTATCTGTAATAATAAACCCACTTCATGTAACTTGCTGTGGGGGGTGTTCTCTTCCCCCACGCTCAAGTACGTTGGTAACCAGTGCACAGCGAAGTTGCTTCAAACATGTCATTGACATAAAGACAGAACTGCAATGGAGGTTGCTGGAGGTAGGGATAGAGAAAATGGGTGGAGTATTGTTTAAGGGGTATACATATTAATTTTTATAAGATGAAAAGATTTTTACTGATTATGTCAGTAATAATGGCAGAACATGTGAATATACTTAATGCCACTTCTCTGCACTCTCAAGTATGGTTAAGATAGACAATCTTATATTCTCTGTATTTACTATAGTTAAATAACTAACGTCTTTATTATAGTATTGTTAGCTCAGAAGACATTGTTTTATTTTCTACTTTTCTGAGCAAATGTTCATAAATAATCACTTTGTGATGACATTGTTCACAAATTGTGTGTGTGTGTGTGTGTGTGTGTGTGTTGTAGACATGGGGTCTCCCTATGTTGCCCAGGCTTGCATCAAATTCTTGGCCTTACATGATCCTGATCCTTTCTCCTTGGTCACTGAAAGTGCTGAGATTACAGGTGTGAGCCCGAGCACCTGGCCAGAAGAAACAGTTTATAAGACATTTCATAGGGAACTTCTTCAAAACGTATATTTCATTGCAGCCACCTCCAAAGCCAATCTCCTAAGCCATGTTTCTGTACACAAGTGCACTTCTCCCTCTGTGATGTCACATCCCCTCAGCATGAAGTCACACAGACACATAGGAGAACAAGGCAAGGAGTCAACCCAACTTTATGAGTGGAAATCACTGCAAAGATCTGGCATTAATAGGGTTTAGGTGTTGCAGCACTTCTCCACTAGCAAAACACTCTGATTTGTCTTCCTGGATTGTTTTCTCAAAGGTTTCCTAATATTTAATGCTAAAGCTGAGATTAGAAGCTTTTTATCCTGAGTCTAATTGAATGCTATTTCACTCAAAATGTATTGCCTTATGGAGTATGATAATAAATATTGAATAATGCCTGTTACTACTACCAGCAGTCCCTTTAGATCTCCTCTTATCATCCTAAATATCATGACTTAGGAAAAGTGTTTGAAAGGGGGTTTAGACAATATTGATCCTGTTTTCAATATCCTAATACAAGTCAAGCACCCATAAAAGTCAAGAGAATTGTAAGGAAAACATGACTTAATGATGATTAGCCATTCTGGTCACTGTTGAGTGAAGATTAAGAAAAATTCTTAAAAACAAGTAGCTGAAACATTGAGAACACTCATCAATTCTGGGCTGAGATGTAAAATGGTACAACTACTTTGGAAAACAGTTTGGTGGAGTATTAAACACTTGCTGTAAGACCCAGTAACTGCACTCCTGGGTATTTGCCTAAAAGAAATAAAGAAATATTCATGCAAAGCCATGTATAATACCATTCTTGGTAGCTTTATCCATAATAGCCCAAAGTGGAAACAACCCACATATCTATCAGCAGGTGGTGGGATACATTGTGAAATTACTACACAGTTAAATAGTACCCAAAAGTGAAGAGTAACACATCATGAGGACACAGGGCGACATGAATGAGCCTAGGAAACAATTATGCTGCATGAAAGTCACCAGCCACAAAAGAACACGTGCTATATTCCATTTATGTAAAATTCTTAAAAAGAAAGTGAAATCTATACTAACAATAAGCTGACCAAGGATGGTCTGTTCTGTGAGGTGGAAAGCAAGTTGATTCCTGAAGAGCAGGACAAAACTTTTTGGAGTTATAGAAATGTTGTGTGTATTGATTTTGGAGGCATTTACACGAGTGTACTTGTTCAACAGTACATTTAAAATCAGAGTATTTGATTGGAATCATTTTTTTTCAATAAAATTGGTTAATAGTGAATAGTGAGTAATTGCAAATCCAATTAAGTAATGTTGTCTTCACATCTTTTATTCTTGCAGTGTACTGAAAGCTACATGAGCCAAAAGTTATTTCTGGTAGATAATCTCAGCCTGACACTAAAGAACTGTGTATCTTCTAGCAAGAGCTCACTTTTCTAGGTATTTTTGGATTTTTCCAAGAATTTAAATGTGTTTCATAGGTTAAATCAAAATGGTAGGCTTTTAATACACATTTCTTATTTATATCAACTAAAAGTCTAAGTAATAAAAAGTTATTAAAAATTGGAAAATATTTAAATGCGAGGAAATATTTTTTAAGTTAGGGAAAGAGATCCAACATACCTTATAGTTCATATAAATTTTTCAGAAATTAAAATTACCTATCAAGAGTTCTTATCGTAAAAACTGTAACACTTTTTACAACGTGTGTTCACTAAATGTGTAGATACACAGATGGATTCCATTTTTATTTTTTCTTATGATTTTTGTGTCTATGTTCATAAGAGATACCAGCCTTTAATATCCTTTTTTTGTTATGTCCTCATTAATTTTTGGACTGGAGGACATTATGACCTCCTATAATAATTCTGAGTATTTTTTTTATTCCCTTGAAAGTTTGTGTAATTTTGATAAGTACCATGTCACTAACCACCAAATAAAATTTGGAGTTTTTTCTGGGTAACTTGTTATTACAGATTTCTTGTTACTTTTGAGGTAAGAGGTAGGCAGCACTTCACTCTGGACCAGATGTGAGGCTGGCCAAAACAGGAATAGGATTCTGAAAACACCTCTCCGTAAGACATACCCACCAGTACCATGACAGTTTACCATTGCCATAGCAACATCCAGAAGTCGCAGCGCCTTGCCATGGCAACACCTGGAAATTGCTGCCCTGCCATGGCAACACCGGGAAGTTGGGGCAACACGACCCATTTTCGAGCTATTTCTCGATAACCCACCCCTTAATTATCACATGATTAAAAGTGGGTATAAATGTGACTGTAAAACTGCACCTGGCTGCTACTCTTGGCCCTCTGCCTATGAATTATGCCTGCTCCACAGGCTTAGTCACAGAGCTGTAACACTGCTGCCCCATCAATAAAGCTGTTTTATTCAATCACCGGCTTACTCTAACGTTCTTTCCCGAGCAAATCCAAGAACTTGCCTTGCATCAGGATTAAGCCAGCCACTCAACTCTAGAGATGGTGAGAGGCAGCGTCTGATGTGGCAGTGAGACAGCAGAAACAGCAGAGAAAGCAAGACAACAAGAGACAGCAAGAGATGGGATTTTGTGAGAAGATGGACATAGCGGTCAGCAATGAGCAGGACAGCTATTGGAGAATTGGGAAGACAGAGATCAGTGAGAGAGGGTGAGACGGTGATCAGTGCTACAGCGATCAAAGCTACAGAGTTGCTAACATTGCAGAGCTGTTAACACTAGCCAAAGGCTGTTTTAAGAGCCATCATCTTTCCTGACAGGCGGTGGAGCCCTGGGGATGGGCAAGTGGCCACAGAGCCACTGCTTCATGCAGGCCAGCCGCTCCGTGCTCCAGTTCCCCGTAGGAGCCCAACCCACCCAAGCTGGGGAGCCTGGAGAGATTTTCACGCAGGCCCCACGTTAGAGACTGCTTGGCACCATTTTGGCTCCTGCACACCTGTAAGTGTCCCCTCTGCCCACCTGACCTATATTGGATGATCCAGGGAATAAGGCCTTTGACTCGATAGTCCATTTGAAGTCCTCCATAGCACACCTGACTACATCCTCCTTGGTCCTTCTCTTAGTCATTTCTCCTCTAATGCCATTTTATTTATCCATCAGCCATTTTATCTTATTTTCTGCCCTGATATATGTGTTTGCTTTGCAGTTTTGGCTTTGGCTCCCTGCTAATTGTGTTTGTGCAATTGTTTAAGGCAGGACACTTGGATGTAAGAATTCTCCTGTTCTGTTGGCCGTAAGAAGCCAGAGTCACATTGTTCTGTGGTCCCAATCAGGCCTTTGGGGCTCACTGTTGGCCACCCAACTGAGGCTCCAGGATTTTCTGCACTGGTCAGCCCCTGGATATTCCAGGGTTTCCTGGCATTTGGTGTGGGGACACTCATAGGCTGATACTCGGGTACTCTGGGTTTTCAGCATTTAGTATTTTTGGCCACTCCCTGGATGCTCCAGGGTTTTCAGCATTGACATTCCTCCTAGGATTGTGGATTGGAGGCTTACCTTATGAGAATCTTGGTTTGCCTTTTCTTGTTTTCTGCCCTAAAGTTACCATTTTTCATAATGGCATTTTGTTTTCTTGTTGTCACTTTATTTATGTTTTTTCTTCTACACTTTACTAAATGAAAATACTGCTTTAAGGCCGGGCACAGTGGCTCACACCTGTAATCCCAGCACTTTCGGAGGCTGAGGTGGGCAGATCGTTTGAGGTCAGGAGTTCAAGACCAGCCTGGCCAACATGGTGAAACCATGTCTCTACTAAAAATGCAAAAAAAAAAGGGCCATAAGTGGTGGTACACGCCTCTAATCCCAGCTACTTGGGAGGCTGAGTCACAAGAATTGCTTGAACCCAGGAGGTGAAGATTGCACCACTTTTGTCAAGTTAGTTGCCAAAAAGTTACTCATTTAGCCTCTCTTTATTTTTTTTACTCTAATAGGCTGTGTAATGACTTTCTCATTTCCATTTACAATATTATGTTTTGTGTCCTTTTTCTTTCCCTCTTCCTATACACCCTTCATCAAGTAGTCACGAGTTTCAATTCAATTCTTTCTTGGTGGTAGTATGGCTCATGAGAAATGCAGACTCTTCTGGGTTTAAGGCCATTCGTTATTTTTATATGTAATACCGTGGAACGTATTGTGACATAATCCTCTGCTTCACAAACTGATCACTGTCAAACATCATCTCCCAAACAATACAGAATTTTTCTGTTCCTCACTGGTATAATTCACATAGGAGTAGAAATCTCAAGTTTAAATTGTGGATTTGCACCTTACCACTTGCTGTATTCAAGAAGATGAATAATAGTAATACATCAGTAGGGCCGGGGCAGTGGCTCATGTTTGCAATCCCAGAACTTTGGGAGACCGAGGCGCGCAGATCACCAGAGGTCAGGAATTCGAGACCAGCCTGACCAACACGGCAAAACTCCGTCCCTACTAAAAATACAAAATTTAGCCAGGTGTGATGGCACACACCTGTAATCCCAGCTGCTTGGGAGGCTGAGGGAGGAGAATCGCTTGAACCTGGGAAACGGAGTGAGCCAAGATCATGCAACTGCACTCCAGCCTGGGTGACAGAGCAAGACTCCATCTCAACAACAACAACAACAAAATCAGTAGCTTTGAATGTTTTTATATTTATTTATTTATTTATTTATTTATTTATTTATTTTTGAGACAGAGTCTCGCTCTGTCGCCCAGGCTGGAGTGCAGTGGCGCGATCTCGCTCACTGCAAGCTCTGCCTCCCGGGTTCATGCCATTCTCCTGCCTCAGCCTCCCAAGTAGCTGGGACTACAGGTGCCCGCCAGCACGCCCAGCTAATTTTTTGTATTTTTAGTAGAGACGGTGTTTCACCTTGTTAGCCGGGATGGTCTCGATAGCTTTGAATTTTAAACATCTATTTGACAAGAAATTTACAGTTCCTTCTCTCTAAAATAATGTAATGATTCTCTCAGGAGTGAGCCTGGTTTGATGCCTCTCTCCCCAACACGATAGAAGTGTGGCACAAATCTTTGAAAAATTCAGTTTCCCCGTGGCAACAACAACTACCTGGGACTGAAAACTTCTTCCCTCGCTCTAGTCCTTTCTTCTACACCCACTTCCACCTCATCTGTGACTCATACAATACTTGTCAGGAAAGATTCTGGAAAAAGCAAAGAGACTTCCTTAGAGGTGTCAGAGATTCCTGTACCAGCATCTGTCCATCTCTAGAGGGGGTTGTGAGTATGAGGAAGAGCAGAGCTTGTCAATCTTCTACTTGCTTTCACTCCCACTGTATTTCCTAACAACAGCAACCAGAGCAACAGCCATATCATCACAGGACGAACCTCTCCTACTTCCAAGGCTTTTATTTCAGTAAATCTGCTCTACCTCTATCTCAGGCAGCTAGAAGTTTTGATACTCATACAAATACTACTGCAGCTTTCTGTTCATAATTGGAAAAGTAGACAAGACTCAGTGTAATGCAGGCATTCCTTATGCCAGTCAGCATTCAGTTTTTGGATCATCATTGCACACATATACCCACCATGTGTCTAATATATATGTAAAAATCCATGAAGCAAGAGTCATAATAGCTAGCATTTGATATTGTATTGTATTTTCCTCTTATATCATCTTCTCCTTTTCGTCCTTAAAAAAAATCTGTTCAAGTCAGTCTAAATTAATTATTGGATGATAAGTAGATAAAATCTTTTATTTGATAACACATTGACCCAATGAATATGTTTCTTTGCAAGACATAGTCCTCACTTCCAAGATAACAAGCCTGACAAAATTATACTGGAGCAAGTCCACAAGTAATGATGGTAGCTTTTCCTTATTGTCAGTCCTGGGGCAAAAATAAGACAAAAGATAACAAGGTAGACTAAAGATTATGTAAGAAAGAAGGAAAGCAGCAGGACATGGGAAACTTTCATAGGATAACATTTTGATAATGGATGATGAGAATTAATGCGTTAGACAGAGATGGGCGGGAATGATTGAAGGTCTGAGCATTTTAGCACAGATTAAGACCAAATCATTAGGATTTTAAGAGTTGTGTACAGTTAGTGAAGAAAAAGCCCTAGAATTTAATTTGACTGTTGATAAAACATTCTTGGATTAGATTGAAGACTCTTTTCTGTGCCAAGTAAGTATATTTATGATAATGATGATGACTGTAGTGCTAAATATTTAATCAATAAAAACAAAAATAATTGCCGCATACATAATGTCCTGAGTACTACTGTAAATGTTTTATCTTATTTTCTTTAAACTGTCTACAGCACTGTAAGGTAGGCACCAGTATTGTCACAGTTACACAGATATGGAAACTGAGACACAGGGAAGTTAAGTTAGTTGGTCAATTTCAAGCAATCGGCAAGCCATGGAGCATCTATGTCAGGGCTGCCAGGACATGTGACTGTAAACAGAAGTTTTAACTTTTTAACTCAAAGAGGGTATGTGTCTGGGTTAATGGAAAGTTTCAGGACCCTCAGAAAACATTACTAACAAGCAAATGAAAGGTGTATCTGGAAGATTAAGTTCTAACAGACTCCTCATTTCCATCGATCCAATAATGCACTTAGGGAGATGACTGGGCATATTGAGGATAGGAAGAGAGAAATGAAAACACAGCCTTTTATATTGTTCTTAACAGGCTTGTGCCAAACATCATCTGGGTGAATTTAGGTGATTGAGGAGAAGAAAGACATAGGAATGAAATTCTCTGAGCACAAGGGAGAAGTTCTACACTCAGACTGAGCCAACAGACTTTTCTGGCCTGACAACCAGGGTGGCGCAGGATGCTCAGTGCAGAGAGGAAGAAGCAGGTGGTCTCTGCAGCTGGAAGCTCAGCTCCCACCCAGCTGCTTTGCATGTCCCTCCCAGCTGCCCTACCTTCCAGAGCCCATATCAATGCCTGTGTCAGAGCCCTGGGGAGGAACTGCTCAGTTAGGACCCAGAGGGAACCATGGAAGCCCCAGCTCAGCTTCTCTTCCTCCTGCTACTCTGGCTCCCAGGTGAGGGGAACATGAGGTGGTTTTGCACATTAGTGAAAACTCTTGCCACCTCTGCTCAGCAAGAAATATAATTAAAATTCAAAGTATATCAACAATTTTGGCTCTACTCAAAGACAGTTGGTTTGATCTTGATTACATGAGTGCATTTCTGTTTTATTTCCAATTTCAGATACCACCGGAGAAATTGTGTTGACACAGTCTCCAGCCACCCTGTCTTTGTCTCCAGGGGAAAGAGCCACCCTCTCCTGCAGGGCCAGTCAGAGTGTTAGCAGCTACTTAGCCTGGTACCAACAGAAACCTGGCCAGGCTCCCAGGCTCCTCATCTATGATGCATCCAACAGGGCCACTGGCATCCCAGCCAGGTTCAGTGGCAGTGGGTCTGGGACAGACTTCACTCTCACCATCAGCAGCCTAGAGCCTGAAGATTTTGCAGTTTATTACTGTCAGCAGCGTAGCAACTGGCCTCCCACAGTGATTCCACATGAAACAAAAACCCCAACAAGACCATCAGTGTTTACTAGATTATTATACCAGCTGCTTCCTTTACAGACAGCTAGTGGGGTGGCCACTCAGTGTTAGCATCTCAGCTCTATTTGGCCATTTTGGAGTTCAAGTTGTCAAGTCCAAAATTACTTATGTTAGTCCATTGCATCGTACCATTTCACCGTGGCTATTATGTTCAACTAAATGCATTTTAGAAGGCATCTCTGTTTATGGCATCACAAAGAGTTTAATAAATCTTCGGTGCAAAAATAAACAACAAACACACATTTAAATATAAAGCTGAAGTATCAAAACTATTTCAGCACTCTGAAAATTGGTGAAGTATAAAATAATTAAGGATGCATATTCTTTATAGAAAAAAAAAGTACCAGTGCTTTGAGTAAGGACAGAAAATGTCTGTAGCCTTTTGCCTGTGACAGCAGCCTTCTACCCCCAGCTCAATCAGCATGAATTACAGAACTGAAGTTTTACCAATATGAGCGTAGCAAAAAAAACTAGCAGCTTGCTGCCAAAGTGGGTGGACTTGAGTAAAGCCAAGGAGTGGAAAAAAAATTATTCAGTGTTTCCAGCTAAACATGCAGAACTCCATAGGAAATGAACAGAAAAATCTCACAGCTTTACAAGTCCAAGATGATGACCTGTTTGAGGCAAGTAGTACATCTGCTGATAGTAAATAGCAGATTCCTGGATGAGATAGACCCATATTGCTGAAATAATCTCTGCACACATTCCTAGTGACCTAGAAGATATAGATATGAGTGATGAGAACAAGGAGTTTCCGGTGCAAAGTAAAACCAGAAGGATTCAAGAACTAGCTGCATTTTGCATGCAGTTTGCTTTTTAAACTACACACAGATGGGTTGACAGAAGATAGATTTATAACCTCTAGATATTTAAGCAAAACGTCTCAAATCATTGGTGACCACTTCACTATGCAGATACATGTGCAGTTCCTATAAATTCAAACTAAATATTAATATTAAGAATAAAAGGAAGCAGTGATATCAGTGGTCAAACACCACGTGAGATAGATTTTTCAATATCATGCAATGAACATGCATTTAATACATCTAATCCACTTAACATTATAGCTCAGCCTATCCTATCCTAAATGTGCTGAAAACACTTACATTAGCTTACACTTGGGCGACATTATCTTACACAAAGCTTATCTTCCAATAAAGTGTTGAATGCCTCATGTCATTTATTGAATACTATATTGAAAGAGAAAATAGAATAGTTGTATAAATACTAGAATTTCTATTTCTACTTGAATGCATATCACATTCATACCATCTGAAAGTCAAAAAGTTATAACTCCAAGCATCATAAGTCAGGTACTATCAGTAAGTTCACCCAAGTAACTAAGAAGAAAATTAAAAAATGATCAGAAAAACAAAACAAATTCCAGGCCTGACGTGGTGGCTCAAGCCTGTAATCCCAGTACTTTGGGAGGCTGAGGCAGAAGGATCACTGGATGCCAGGAGTTCGAGACCAGGCTGGGTGGGCAAAATATCTTACTATTTAAAAAAAAAAAAATAGCAGAGAGTAATGGCATGCCCCTATAGTCCCAGCTACTCAGGTGGATGAAGCTGGAGAACCACTGGACCCCAAGAGGTTGAGGCTGCAGCAAGCTATGATCACACCACCATACTCCAGCCTGGGTGAAAGAGTAAGACCCTATTTCTAAAAAATTAAAATTAAAATTAAAAAACCCATAATCTAAAGAGAGGTACTGTATTATCAAAAATGTAAAATTGTCAGTTTAACAGCTCCTGGGAAAAAAACTAGAAGAATGACCAATATTAAAGGAACAAAAATAAAGCAACTACAATAATGACAACAGAAAATAGTCAACGAAAGCTGATTCTAACTTGCCGTAATTATCGGATTTAGTAAAGACTACAAAGATTTTCAAATAATTATTTTTAAAACTATGATCATTGACATAAAAAAGAAAATATTAAGAAGATTTGGCAAGTAGGGCCTCAAGAAAAGATATGGAAAATATAAAAAATGACCAAATTGGAACTCTAGAAATGAAAAGTAAAATAATCCAATTTAAATACGTATTAGCTAGGTCTAATAGCAATTTGAGATGGCAGAATAATCAGTTAACTTGAAAATAAAGGAATAGAACTTATTGAGTCTAAATAAAATGTTTAAAAAAAAGGAGGAAGACGTCAGAGATTTATAGCTCAGAGTGAAGGATACCAACAAAAGTATAATGAGAGTCACAAAGGAGGAGAGACAGAGAAAGTGGCTGAAAAAAAAATCCTTGGAGAAATAATGACAAAAACTTTTCAAAAGTAATAAAAAATATTCTTAGATGAAAAAATTCAATAAAACCCTTTTAGATAATAGAAATTAATAACTGAACACATTATATTAAAATGTTGAAAGACAGAAAATCTTCACTGCATCAAGAATGAAAGGCCATTCGCCATTTTTAAATGTAGTACTGTGGAAAGTATTGTGACACAAGCCTCTGCTTCACAAACTGATCACTGTCAAACATCATCTCCCAACCAATACACAGAAACAACATATTGTTATTGGCTAAGTTTTCATTAGGACCAATAGAGATTAGAAGCAGTGAAATGACATACTTAGATGCTGAAAGGAGAAAAAAGTCACTAGGAATTCTATATCCAGTGAAAATACCTTCACATCTAAAGAAAAAGCAAAAAAAAATTTTCTTTGATAAAAAAGTACATTCATTCATAGCAGCTATGTCTTATAAGACATTTGAGAGAAAATCCTTCAGAATCCCAGGAAATGACATCAGACAGGACCTTGAGTCCACTGGAAGAAATGAAGGCCTCAAACATTGTAAGGAGCAATACCAAGGCTAAAAAGAGAAAAATACACTTAATGCTATTTATGTGAAGTTCAAGACAGGAAAACCTAAGTGATTGTGTTAGATGTCAGAATAACAGTTACTATGGCTGGGTGGGAGGGGCGAAAACTGACAAAGATTGTCCATGAGGGAAGCACAAGAGTATGTGAAATATTCTATCATTCCACCTGGACAATGAATTACACATAAACTTTATTCAGTTGCACATTGAAGATTTGTGCACTTTACCCTGGCTACTTTATCAATTAAAATAAAACTTAAAAAAAACAAACCTAGACTCTTTCCCACTTACCAGTAATCACAGCCAAGAGCCCAGACTAATTTGAAATATTATTATTATCAACACTTCTTTACCCTATCTTGACACTTACACTTCTTATTCAGCTACAGTTTCACAGCTCCACCTCTGGCCCATTCTTTTGGAAGACCCCATAGCCATAGGTCAGGTAACAACTATAGAAGATGCATAAATGACAAGATTGATGAGTATTTAGCAGAAAAAAACTTGTATGTATCACAGACTGTCCTATGCAGAGTGTACAATACATGTGAGTAGAGTCCCTCTAGCACAGAAAAGAAGTGTGAACTAGACCTTCAGAATATGGTCCAGTTTTTAGAGTTCATCAGATCATCAGATGAACACAGATCAAGGTGTCCTCTCATCTGGGTATGAGAAAGTGAAATGACTGCAGGTTCCCACCAGATCAGTGGCCCGTGGCTTTAGAGACATGTACATGAAACTCACATTTCTTCATATCCACAGTCACTTCCTGGCTTCAGCCATAGGAATGACGGCCTGGCTTTCCAGTTATTTAGGAACTCTGCACACAGGCTGTCAGTTACTAAAATGAAAATTAAAAACAATGACTTTGGTTAAATATGTAACAGTAGTTACATTCTGTAGGGAAAAATGAGCAGAGGGAATATATTTTAATATCAAATGAAAAGTCACAACCTTGTGACTCCTTTCTTTTCCCATATGATTCATTACGCTTGTGCTGAAACTTCAGACTATCAAATGAGCCCCATATGTTCATCCCTAAAGCTTTGTCCTTGTCCAACCTGAACCCACATTTGGGCCATCCACTGGCATCCAAGTACACTTGTGAGATGATCACTGTCCAGACAGGATTGCTGGGGTGACTCAACAGGCAGCTCCATGCTGAGTCTCCCCTTGAACTCCCAGCATCACTAACCCTGCAGGAGTGTCCCCTTGTCCTCCACAGCACCCAGAGCACAGCCTGCCCTGCCATGATTTCACTGCCCAACTCAAAACCTCATCATAGATTCCGCCGGCTCAGAGACAAAGTCAGGTCCCAGGCAGAGGCAGGTGTGGGGGCCTAAGAAAAACCATTTTTTCATCAATTTTCCTATTAGGAATTCCCAGGAATTTATAAGCTGAATTTCTGTTCATAGTTACCATCTTAAAAAATAAAAGCTATTTGTATTGTGAGAAACATGAAACATGGAAAATAATTAAATCTCACAAGAGCACCATCTAGTCAGAGACTCCAAATTCAACTAATCCAATTCTGAGCTCCCTGCCTTATGGTCCATCTCCATGGTGTCTGTGTGCTCCACCCTTATCAAATATATGTTCAAATAATTATTTTAACCTATAATAAAAGACTTAAAAAGGAATTTGTAAAGACAATGATTCAACAAATAGAGGCTCTCAAACAGAGACAAAACTATGAAAACAGACCTACTGGGAATCCGAAAAATGAAAGGTACAACTCAATTGAAAAATGTATTAGATAGACTCAACAGCAATTTAACATGACGCGAGAGTCAGTGATCTGAAAAAGAAGTCAATAGAAATGACCTCATATAAAGAAGGGAAAAATTATAAAGAAGAATGAATAAAACCTCAGACATTATAGGTCCCTGTGAACAATACCAACAAATTTGTATTAGGAATCACAAAGGAGAAGACAGGAAGAGGCTAAAAACTGTGTTCTCATCTTTACGCCCATGTGTACCCCATGTTTAGCTCCCGCTTATAAGTGAGAACACGTGGTATTTGGTTTTTTGTTTCTGCATTAGTTCACTTAGGTAAATGACCTCCAGCTGCATCCAAGTTTCTGCAGGACCATGATTTTCTTCTTATTTATGGCTGCATAGGATTCCATGGTGTATCTATACACAGTTTTTTTTTTTATCCAATCCACGGTTGATGGGCACAATAGACACTGGGAACTACTAGAGGGGAGACAAAGGGAGGAAGGGCAGAGGCTGAAAAAATACCTATGGGGTACAGTGCTCACTACCTGTTTAATAAGTTCAGTCATACCCCAAATCCCAGCATCATGCAAAATAACTTTGTAACATATCTGTACATGTATGCTCTGATTTTAAAATAAAAATTGAAAAAGAAAAAAATGGAGAAATAATGAAAAACATTTTTTACAGTGATGAGACACCTTAATCTATACATGAAAGAAACTCAGTGAAACCCTTTTAGGATAAGCACAGTACAATTCATAACTATACACATTATAGTACCAGTGTTGAAAGACAAAGACCCAGAGAATTTGAAATGCATCACTAAAATACCGACTTACTTTATACTAAGAAGCAATATTAAAATCATTGGCTAAATTTTCACCATTACAAATGGAGGTGAGAAGACAGTGGAATGATATTTTTAAATACTGAGCCACAAATTCTCAGCCACAAATTCTATATCCAGAAAAACAATCGTTTAAATATAAAAGCAAGGTAGAAATATTCCTTCATACACAAAGATTAATTCATTAATAGCATATATGCCTTGTAAGAGATTCAAGAGAAAATTCTTCAGAATAACAGAGAATGACAGCAGACAGCAACTCAAATTGACAAGAAGGA
The DNA here is from genome assembly GCF_000001405.40 of Homo sapiens. Lineage (NCBI taxonomy): Eukaryota > Metazoa > Chordata > Mammalia > Primates > Hominidae > Homo > Homo sapiens. The sequence goes on along the minus strand of NW_012132915.1, from coordinate 130,247 downwards.
ACCAAGGCCTCAAAAAATGAAAAAAGTTAGAAAGAAGCTACAAAAAATGTTTACTTTACCTGATATAAAGATTAAGTCCAGGACTAAAACAATTATATGTCAGAATATCATTTACATTGATTGTGTTTTGAGCAGCAGTTTTTGACTGGGAAGGTGCATAATGAAAGCAGCGAGAGAATTGGAAACCTTCTGCGTTTCTATGTGGATCATGATATGAAATGATCTGGATCTTGACATTCATTTGCACCCTTAAGAGTTGCACCCTTTGCACTGTGTGTTTTACCTTAGATAAAATAAAATAAAATAAAATAAAATAAAATAAAATAAAATAAACAAACCTAGACTCTTTTAAATAAACCTAAACAAAGAAATAAGAATCATCAAATATTTATGAAAGATCAAGCTTATTAAAAAGAAACATAAAACATGCCCGAGAAAGTCCTAAAGAACTAGAAGTCTAGTAGAGGAAACAGCAGGAAAATCTAAATACGTCCCTTCTGCCACTCAGGCAACACAGATTTTACCTCTATTGATTTCCTTAAAAACATAAAATATATTTATGTCATTTTGCTCACAAGAGACGCCCCCACCTTCTCCTTGGCTCTTTCCACCCCACTGCACCCACCAGGGGATTTGCATACTGTCCCCTAGGGAGGACTTTCCTTGTGAGTCTGAGACGAAAGCTCACTCTAACCTTGCCTTGACTGATCAGGACTCCTCAGTTCACCTTCTCACAGTGAGGCTCCCTGCTCAGCTCCTGGGGCTGCTAATGCTCTGGGTCCCTGGTAAGGGCAGAAGGGAAATGAGGGAGGATGATGGGGTGGGAGGGTGAACTCTGTGGACCCCGCCACCTCCCATGTGTGTCCTGTCCTCGTGTTAGATGTGTCTTGTCCTCCAGGATGGGGCATGTGATGTCTAGATCTGTGAGAGTGAGGAAGATTCCAGAAGGAGCAAGGATATGTAAATATTGGTTCTTTTTAAATCTGTATGTTTTGGGAGGATTAATCAAAATCACACACACAAAAATAATTGAGCAAAACATAAATAACAGACAGAAAATGATTAAAATGACTCACAATGTTTGCACATAACCTTGCACTTCTCTCTCATTATTTCATGATCCAATGGAGATGCTGTGATGACCCAACCTCCACTCTCCCTGCCCATCACCCCTGGAGAGCCAGCCTCCATCTCCTGCAGGTCTAGTCACAGCCCCCTTCACAGTAATGGATACATCTATTTCAACTGGTACCTACAGAAGACAGGCCAGCCTCCTTGGCTCCCAATCTATTTGGTTTCCAATCACGACCCTGGAGTCCCAGACAGGTTCAGTGGCAGTGGGTTGGGGACAGATTTCATGCTGAAATCAGGAGGATGGATGCTGAGGATGTTGGGGTTTATTGCTGCCAGCAAAGTACACATTATCCTCCCACAATGGTATAGTCTTGAACACAAACCCCCCCACTTGCTGTGGCCTAGCTGCCCAGATGTGCTGTTTCTGTGGAGAGCAGGCACTGTGGATTCTCTTAGATGCCTAAAGACCAAGATGTTGGAGAACTCAGAGGACTTGGTGCAGCTGAGGGCTCATGACCATAAATTTCTTGGCTACACCTCAGGCACCACATTTTAAGGTCCCGTCAGCTGCAGCAGCCTTTGCATGACAGAGTCTGCAGTATGGAGGAGGTCCACGTGCCCTCTGAGCAATGAGACACAAGAGAAGAGAAGGCTCAATGAGAGCTCATTCTAATCCTCTCTTCCTTCCCTATGTTCATTCATCAACTAAATTCATTCTGCATAACAGGCACCTAATTGAGACTGATTACTGGCAACACAAAACTAACACATTCTTTTGATTTGGTTTAGCAGTTACCAGAGTACATGTACATTGATAAGATCTGGTGATATTAAATCAGTTTCCCTCCCCTCCTCCACCTCCCCCCTCCACTTTTTGTAAGGCCGACCCTTGACCAGAACAGCAGCAAGCACTGTATTTTATCCTACTTTTTTCAGGGAGAAGCCAAATAAAACTCTTCACAGTCTAGATTTTTTAATTACTAGATATGTTGTGGCAAATGTATGCAAAAATAAAGACCTAGTTGCTAAAGTGTTTGCACAGTCTCACTCACAGCATATTGAAGTACAAAAGTAGCTTTCTGAACTCCAAAGCTGGGTTTCAAAAATAAGGACAAAGTTCGAAAGAATAAAGGAACATATGTATGTTATTTAAACAGAATTTGAATGAATACAAGATAATATATAAGCTAACTTTTTACCCCATGAAAAATTACAATGTGAAGATTTTGAGCAGAGGGCAGCAAGTGAGAGACTGGTGGGTTGTGTTTGAGATATGAACCCAGATGGAAGTTCTCACGTATTTCCTGGGAAGAATCACAGAGTTGAGAAGCGCCTGCCTGGCTTTCAAGGCAGTAACAATCTCAACAGAGTCAGGTTATCAAATGGAAATGGCACATTCTTGATCAGGCTTAGTCAGGACCCCACAGGATCTGTGGCTCCATGAACAAATGGAGAGGTTGTTGAAGGGACCAAATGACTTGTAGGTGATAATTTGGATTTTCATTTACCCATGTCGAGCCCAAGATTCAGAGATTTCCATATAGCAGGAGTCACTGATGGCTGAGGAAAACGCAAACTGACAGGTCCACCAGGTGTGGCCACCATTCAGCCAATGGATGGCCACTTTTTTAACTGAAACTTAGCATGGGATTTCAACCCAGTGGGTCAAACTACATTCAGTGGTAATGGCCATGCAGGCTGTTCCAACATCGTACCATGCCACATTCCCACTAAATCATGGGCCATTGCCAACAGCCTCAACATCTGTTCAGGAAAATGGCAACTGAGAGACTGGACTTTTAAAGAATCCCTGGTGTGGAGGAAAGGACTATGGCCACAGCTTTCCACCTGCAGGAAAAAGAGATACGATGCTCAATTGGATGCCGGGACTACCAAGGTCACCCTTGAAAGGAACTTACATCATATTTTTGGATACCCAATGACACTTCACACTGACCAAGGAGCATCTTTCACTGCCCAAGCAACATGACAATAGGCACACTCTCATGGAACACGATGAACTTTCCATGCACCCTGCATCCACAGGCCAATGAATCTAGTGAATGCTAGAACAATGGACTCACACAGCAACATCTAGAAAGGACATCTAGAAAGTCTGCTAATGGGGTGGTACCCCATCTTACTAGAGCAATATGGGCATTAAATATCGCACTCCAGAACAAGGGAAATAATGAATGTTAAGGAACATAATGCTGAGTGGAAACGAAGGTAGACCAGGCAGACCCTTTATTAGTCTGGACCTGTGAAAGCTATTTCAGTGTTCCTAACCATTCTTTTTCTTTTTTTCCTTTAGAATGCATGCCCTGGGGTGATTTTCAATTCAGGCCATCATCTTACCCCAGACAGGCCCCCTAACTCTAATATGGGGATTATGTTTCCTCTAAATGCCTCTTTTCTACAAGATCCCACAGGATGGATGACAAGACTAAGAAATATCAGGGAGCTAGGGGCCCTCTTCTGGTGCCAGGGCCATCTTATCCTTCCTTTAGTATTGGTGATATTATGAAATATGTCAAGTTTTTACAGGGCATAATCTCCCTTCCTGCAGTGGACAATCAGGACTGAAATGTCTGGGTCAAGTGACAAAGGCAATGGATTTTTCACAGAGCAAGGACAGCCAGGCCGCATTCTTACACCAACACAGCCTAACCCTTGTAGATGGGTAGGAGACACCTGAGACCCTGGGATGGGTGAGAGATGATGCACTAACCTGTCACACTGCATTTTGGCAAGAATGAGGCAGCAAAGGCCTAGAAGCATAACATCTTTGTTAGCTTCTTGCAAGTCACCGAGTGTAATCTTTCAAAATACTGAATCTGCCATTCTTGACCTCGTTCTGTCACTAACTAGAGGTTTCCTTTCATTCTACTGAAGGCAAATGACACCAACATTACTGATATCATGGTGTACATCAACAGGACCCGGGCACTGGCCTACCAACTGAGGATGTGATACCTACCACATGGGAGAAAACTGGAGGCCCCCCATTTAACTAAATTGACTCTGTGGCAAATGTCATGACCACAACTAAAAAAAACATTGGTGGACTGATATTTTGATGTACCATATTTCTTTGATTGCATAGATAAGAAATGCCCCAATGGCAAAGACAAAAACAAGGAGAGGACTAATGCTACCCTCTGTCTATGAACAATATTGTCTGAGCAAAACTTTGCTCCTTCAACTCTGCCATCAGTGAGACTTGGCTAATGAACACACCAATACCTGCATAACCATGACTGGGTGATTAAACAATAAAATGGGAGAAAGGGGGCTGTATGCACCCAAGGGCTACATATTTCTCTGTGAATGGTCTGGGAGTGAACAAAATGCAGGATGTGTGATGCCATCTCTGGATAACTGTGGGATGGTGAGATTCTGCATGTTGGGCATGCTGGGCTTGTCTCTGGATATTACTCCTTGGAATTAGGTGAACCATTGAGCCTGCAGCCCAAAGCTGTACCTCAGACTTACTAGGGACCTGCCAGAAGGTATAACAGACTATGGGTTTATGTCTTTTGTGATATTTTTGGTACTATGTATAGGAGTCAGTGCTCATGTAAAAAAGAGAAATGATAAGAAATGTGTCCCTGACCATGGCAGATATGGCTCCTCCTCCATAGCCACTGCCTTGGTAGCCCAGCAGACATCCCTTAACTCCATCGGGATGGATGTTTTAGATAACAGTGTTGCTCTAGACTTTTTTAAAATCCCAACTGGGAGGATTGTATACAATTTCCAACACTTTCTGTTGTACCTGGACAAACACCTCAGGTATCCTAGAAATTCAAGAGAGGAGATCTGGAAACAGGCTCGTAATTGAAGAAAATGGTCCCACCTGAAGGATTCTTCTTTCACCCCTTTAGCAACTTCTTCTGTGGATCATTGGATCCTGGGCTACATAACTGCTTCAGGTGGGCCTGATCATCCTGCCTCTGGTAGTAGTTTTCATTGGCCCAGTGAAATCTATTCTGGCTCTGGCTCTATGATGTTGCTTTGACATTGTGTTCGTCGAGGGGCTTCATCAGTCAAACAAGACACACCTCTGCCACCAGTTCAGGGTTATTAGTAGGCATATAAAATGGAATGGCTTTCTAACGGGGGTGTTTGGGTTGGGGGTGACTCCAGTACAGTCCTCTAATGGTTCTCGACTCAGTTAGTTCTCCCCACTCTCTTTCTTACACTTCTCAAGAACAACTGTAGAATGTGCTGGAAATGTAACATTCTGAAATAGGGAGAGACTGGTCAGAAGAGCCTGCCCCTGTTCCAGCTTCTCCTAGTACTGTCCTCCAGTACTTTAGTCCTCCAGTACTTTAGCTCCATGTGTCCTGTGACACCAGGATTAAAAACCCAGAGCATCTTCTTTCTGGGGTTGCTGAGTTGTGGTCCAACTGGGGTACACACAGTCAAGATTCCATCAGACCCACATGCCTGTGCCTCAGGGGACAGACCCACAATACATCCTAGGCTTCTGCAGTCCCTTGTTGGCCACCTATAAATACTACACCAGATTCTTGTAACTTGTTGTGTATGATTGTTCTGTCTCCCTGGACTCTGATAAGTTGGTAACCAGGGCACAGTGAACCTGCTTCAGAGTAGTCACTGTCATAGAGACAGAACTTGAATGGAGGTTGCCAGGAACTTGAAGCAGGGGAAATGGGGAGAGGGTTGTCATTTAATTGAAATAGAGTTTCAGTTTTAGAAGATGGAAAGAGTTCTGGAGATTGCTATTATTGATGATAGCACAACAATGTGACTTACTTAATGCCATTGCCCTGTACACTTAAAAATGGCTAAGATGGGCAATGTTATGTTCTCTATATTTACCATAGTTGAAAAACTTAGCATTTTTATTATGATATTGATGGATTATAAGACATCATTCTATTTTCTAGTTTTCTGAGCAAATGTTAATAAATAATCTCTTATAGATGTCATTGTTCACACCACATCTTACCAAACATTCTTTTTTTTCTACAGACAGGGGGATCTCCTTATTTTTTCGAGGCTGGTCTTGGACTCCTGGCTTTCAGCTGTCCTCCATCCTTGACTTTGCAAACATCTAGGATAACGGGCATAAGCCCCTGCACCTTGCCTTAACTAACAATTTATCAGCTTTAACAGGGAACTTCCTTGAAAATGTATATTCCATTGCAGCCACCTCTAAGGCCAGACAATCCCCTAAGCCATATTTCTGTACCCAAGTGCACTGCTCCCTCTGTGATGTCACATGCCCTCAGAATGAAGTCCCATAAGGAGAACAAGGCAAGGAGGCCACCAAATGATCTGAGTGGAAATTATTGTGAAGGTCTGGCATTAAAAGAGCATCAGTGTTGCAGTTTTTCTTGACTAGCAAAACACTCTCTGACTTATTTTCCTGGATGTTTTTTTTTTTCCTTAAACTTTTCCTAATATTGAATACTAGGGTTGAGATGAGAACCTTTCTATCCTAAGTCTAGTTAAACACTATTTCATTGAAGACATATTGCCTTATGGAGTACGATAATAATAAATGTTGAAAACACTTATTACTACTCCCAACACACCTTGTATATACCTTGTTACCATCTTAAATATTATGGCTTGATAAAATTATTTGAAAAGGAGCTTGGATGGCATTGATTCTATTCTCAATATCCTGAAACACATCAACCACCAAAATTGACAAGAAAATAGTCAGAAAAACATAGCTTAATAATCACTAGCTATTCTGGTTACTGTTGAGTGACAATTAGGTGAAATCTTAAAAAAAAAATCAAAACAGCAGTTGGAGGGTGTGGAGCTATAATAAGTTATTGGTGGACATGTAAAATGTTTCAGCCACTTTGGAAAAAGTTGAACAGAGTATTAAACACTTACTGTAAGACCCAGCAACTACACGCCTAGGAATTAGCCCAAAAGAAATAAAGAGATATGTTCATACAAAGTCTTGTTCAAGAACATTCATAGCAGCTTTATCCGTAATAGCCCAAAGTGGAAACAACTTACATGGCAATCAACAGGTGAAAGGATCCATTATAAAATTACCAAACAGTTAAATAACACTCAAAAATAAAAAGGAGCACATAACTGGAACACATGACATCTCAATGAATCTGAGAAGCAGTTATGCTGCACAAAATTCACCAGATGCAAAAGAGCACATGCTATATTTCATTTATATGAAACCCTTAAAAAGAAATTGGAATCTGCACTGACAATAAGCAGATCAAGAATTCCCTGATCTGTGTGGTGGAAAGCAAGTGGATTCCAAAAGAGTAGGTCAAAACTTTTGGGAGTTATAGAAATGTTCTATGTCTGGATTTTGGAGGTGGTTCTGCAGATGTATTTATTTGTGACAGTTCTTTGACAGTGTATTTTATTGTAATTTTTTTTCAGTAAACTTAGTTAACAGTGAACAAAGTAAGTGCAAGACCAATTGGGTAATGTTGTCTTTGCATCTTCTATCTGTAGTGTACTGAAAATTGTATGAGCCAGAATATCTGAGAGAAAATCTCAGCTCCGAAACAAGAACTGTGTAGCTCTTGGCAAGATCTCTCTTTTCTAAGGAGTTTGGATTTTTCTTCTATAGAATGAGAATTTAAATACCCTTCATAGATTAAATCAAAATGGTAGGCTTTTAATACACATTCATTATTCATTTCAACTAAAAGTCTAAGCAAAACAAAAAGTCATACAAAAATAAAAATAATATTTAAATAAGATGAAATATTCTTTTAAAAGTTAGGAAAATGGAACTGTCACATCTTCCGTTTCATATCAATTTTTTAGAACTTGTAATTACATATCAAGTGTTCTTAGCATAAAAACTGTAATACACTTAACCATGTGTGTTCACAAACATATAGGTATAAAAATGATTATATTTTCCTTCTTTCCCTATTTTTCAGAATATTTGTGTTTATGTTCACAAGAGATACCAGCATTTAATTTCTCCGTTTGTTACGTCCTTGTTTGTTTTTGGACTGGAGTATATGGTGATCTCATATGATAAGTTTGGGAGTATTTATTCTTTTTGAATCTCTTGAAAATTTGTGTAATTTTGATAAGGTATCAAGACACCAGTCAGGCAGATATAAAATTGGAAATTTCGTTCTGGGTAAATTTATAATACAAAGTTATTGTTACTTCTGTCAAGCTAGTTGCCATAAAAATACTCAGAATATCCACCTTTTGTATTTTTATAATCATAGGCTCTGCAATGATTTTCCCCTTTCCATTTATAGTGCTGTGTTTTGGGGTTTTATTCTTTTTTCTACCCCTTTCATCAACTTGTCACAGGCTTCAATTCTTTCTGGGAGGGCATATGTGGCACATGAGAAATGCTGGTTCTTGTGGATATGAGATCATTCACTGTTTTTGTATGTAATACTGTGGAAAGTGCTGTGACATAAACCTCTTCTTCACGAAATTGATTACTGTTCAAACATTCTTCCCCAACCAATATGGAATTTGCTGTGTTTTTAATGGTGTAATTCACATAGGCATACAAACCCTGAATTGAAATAGTGGATGTGCCCTCTACCACATGGTATATTTAAAGAAGTTAAATAATATTAACACGTAATGAGTAGCTTTGAATTTTAAAAATCTATTTGGCAAGGAATTCACAGTTCCTTCCATCTAAAATAACCTAATGATTCTTCCAGAAGTGATCCTGGTTTGATGCTTCTCTCCCCGTGGTGACAGAGGTTTGGCACATCATCACACTTATAAAGCCCCCCATTTACCTGTCTACAACCACTGTGCAGGCATGAACATTATTTTCCCTTGCTCTAGTCCTTTTTCTACACCCTAGTTTCACATAATTTGAGACTCAAAACATTTCTCAGGTAAGATTCTGGATTGAGCTAACAAGATTTCTCCAGAGGTGTCAGAGATGCCTGTACAATCACTGATGCATCTCTAGAGGGAGTTGTAAGTATGAGGAAGAGAAGAGCTTGTAAATCTTCAAGCTGCTTTTACTCCCACTGTACTAACAACAACTACTACAATCACAACATCCACAACAGCACAGGACGAGCTTCTACAGCTTCCAATGCATCTATCTCAGTAAATCTCCTCTACCTCTATCTCATGCTGCTAGAATTTTTGAGAGTCATGCAAGTACTGCTGTACCCTTTAGTTCATAATTTGAAAAGAAGGAAGCCTCAGTGCAACATAGGCAGTCCTTAAACCAGTCACCCTTTAGTTTCTGGATCATCATTATACACATAAACACAGCATGTATCATAAATATATATATATATATGCACACACACACACACACACACACACACATATATATCCATGAGGCAATACTTACCACAGTCTGTGTTTTCTGTGGTATTATATTTTCCTCTTTTTCTCTTATTCTGGTTTTTTCCTTAAAAAACCTCCAACTAACTTAAGCAAATTAACAAGCAAAAAAAAACTATTTTAAAAAGTGGACAAAGTATATGACCAAACACTTTTCAAAAAAGCATATTAACGGCCAAAAAGCGTATGAAAAAGTGCTCAAAATCACTAATTATTAAAAAAATGCAAATCAAAACCACAGTGAGATACCATCTTACACCAGTTAAAATGGCCATTATTAAAAACTTAAAAATGACAGATGCTAGTGAGTTTATGGAGAAAAGAGAATGCTTATACACTGCTGGTGGGAATATAAATCAGTTCAGCCATTATAAAAAGCAGTTTGGCAATTTTGCAAAGAACTTAAAACAGAAATATCATTTGACCCAGCAATCTCTTTATTGGATATATACTCTAAGGAATATAAATCATTTTACCATAAAGACACATGCATGTGTATGTTCATCACTGCACTATTCCTAATAGCAAAGACGTGGAAGCAACCTAAATGCCCATCAGTTGTAGATTGGATAAAGAAAATGTGGTACATATGCAACATGGAATACTTAATATACAGCTATGAAAAATGAGATCATGTCTTTTGCAACACTGTGGATGGTGCTGGAGGCCATTATCCTAAGCAAACTAACACAAAGATTCAAGTTTATGCTAATCAAGGCTCCTGTAGTAGAAGAAGAAAAAAAATTGTTTTAAAGTAATCAGATTTAGCATTGCTAGTCAGACTTTTATGCTGATGGACCATGGGAAATAATTCACAATGACAGAAAAGGGGGTAGAATATGGGGGTCCCCAAGCAGAGAATAAAATGAATCCCATTAAAACTCGAGCATTAAAGAGACTTATAGCTCTGGACAATGCAGGAACTGTGGATGTCATATGCTTTAAGGAATCCCAATATCATCTTCTTTGTCAATCTGCAGTAAACCTCTTCAGCTTAGACTGGTAATAACATTGGTTTAGGGCCATTACAAAATGCTTTTGAGAACATTTTACTTGCTCATGACTAAGTGTTCTTTTTTACTTAAAAAAAGATCAATTTCATGCTTACAAAAATGTAGTATGTATGTCACAAAGTATCGCTCCCAACTGGAACAATTTCACAGTGTGTTGAAGACCTGATAGCCCCACTCTCTAAGACTTTATTAAGAATTCTCTACAAACAAGGATATTCTCCTACTTATGCCCAATACGGCATTGAAATATATTATTCCATCTAGTTCTCACAACCACTTCGAGATTTGCCAATAAATGCTCAAAAATGTACTTGGTAACAAAATATCCTTTAGGAAGAAACATTCTCTGCAGGCAAATCTAGGTGCCCTGGTCTGACCTGGGACACTGGGGACACTGCCCCTGTGCTGAGTTACTGAGATAAGCCAGCCACGCAGCTGTATCCAGCCTGCCCCACCCCCTGCCGATTTGCTTGTTCCCAGAGCACCACCCCCTGCCCTAAAGACTTCTTAATAGGCTGGTCACACCTGTGCAGGAGTCAGTCCCAGTCAGGACACAGCATGGACATGAGGGTCCCCGCTCAGCTCCTGGGGCTCCTGCTGCTCTGGCTCCCAGGTAAGGAAGGAGAACACTAGGAATTTACTCAGCCCAGTGTGTTCCGTACAGCCTGGCTCTTGAGGGAAGTTCTCTTACAACATGATTAATTCTATGGACATTTGTGTTTATATTTCCAATCTCAGGTGCCAGATGTGACATCCAGTTGACCCAGTCTCCATCCTTCCTGTCTGCATCTGTAGGAGACAGAGTCACCATCACTTGCCGGGCCAGTCAGGGCATTAGCAGTTATTTAGCCTGGTATCAGCAAAAACCAGGGAAAGCCCCTAAGCTCCTGATCTATGCTGCATCCACTTTGCAAAGTGGGGTCCCATCAAGGTTCAGCGGCAGTGGATCTGGGACAGAATTCACTCTCACAATCAGCAGCCTGCAGCCTGAAGATTTTGCAACTTATTACTGTCAACAGCTTAATAGTTACCCTCCCACAGTGTTACAAACCTGAACATAAACCCCCAGGGAAGCAGACATGTGAGGCCGGGCTGCCCCAGCTGCTCCTCCTGATTCCTCCATCAGCTGAGAGTGTTCCTCAGATGCAGGCACACTCTGATGGTGTTGGTAGAGGGGGATGTGAAGTCACCTCTGCATCCCAATTTCTTTTTCTTTCTCAGCACCAGGTGCACAGACATAACAGTTCCTCTCCTGATTTAAAAAAGGCAGGGATCATGACACCTGAGGAGTCTAGTTTATGGCTTCAGTTGGAATTCAAGTAACAGAGAAGAAGCCACTATAGATATTCTAAGCAGGAATTGTCTTGATACAGAGAAATAGAGTATAAACTATGGAAGTCTAAATAAAAATATAGAGATGAATCTCAAATTTCATGTTTTATTTGCTAAGAAATATTTGCTAAATGGGGCATACAGAAAAACTCAATGGTCTTCAATATGTTGAAAGAACAAAGAGAAGCTTAGAGTTTCATGAAAAAAGGAAAATGTTACCTATTGCTCTTTGAGAAAGTTTATTGGCTCCAGAAAATTTTGGGAGCTGGCAAGCTCAGAATGGTAAGCACTGATGGACAAACTGAATCCTAGAATTATGTTAAATTATTCAGAAGTTGGGGTTGAATTTGATTTCCGGTTACAAGAGGCCAAAGCAGTGAAGCTTGCAGAGAATCTTGTTACTGAAATGCCAGGGATTTGGTGTAGATCCTGCTGCTCACCACATATAAAACCAATCACTAAGACAACAAGTATTGCCAAGAAACAGGCTTTAATCAGGTGCTGCAGCTGTGGAAATGGGACCCCATTCTCAAATGTATCTCCCTGACAAACTAAAATTAGGGGGTTATATAGCAGGGAAGAAATGTGGGCAAACAGGAATTAGGGAGGGGTAATGAAGTTAATTTTGTCAACAGGAAGCAGAAGGTCAGTGAGGCAATCACAATGTGTGAAGGGTCTGACGTCTCACTGTCCTGATTCAGTGATATGTAAGTTTCAGCTCTCTGATAGTATCTGGAGGCCTCTTGGTGGGTTTCCTGAAAAAGGAACTCAGATAAGACAAATGTAACTAACTTGAGTTTTAAGACTGGGGAAGTCAATTTCTATGTTTATTCAAAAAACCATAAACATTACTTCCATGGGATAATAGGGCCTATTTCAATTGCATTCTTCAGACAATATTTTACACCCTGAGTGTCTTTCCCTCCTGGTTTCTTGGCTCTGTTGGGTATGTCAAGAATGACCCAATTCCTACATTAACGTTCACACTGCAACCTTTCAAGGCCAAGGATATAGTAGTCATGAAAGCTGACATTAGAAGCAGGATTCTCTGGTGCTCCCTCAGAAAACAGAATCCATCTGCCCCTAAAGTATGGGCTATCTAACCATGTGGTCCTCAGTCCTGTCTGGAAGCTTAGGGGTGGGGGTGCTGATGCTCTCAGCTTCCTACAGCATCTTTTCAGGTGTTTCTCCTGTCCTCATCCCTGTCCCTGTGTCTGTCTTAGGTACCAATGGAGAATATTGAGTCATCCTTTTCTGATTTCCAAATCTCATGGAAGGACCTCTTATTGGGCAACTCTATAGGACAAAAGAGAGGCAAAAAGGGATATTTATGTAAGTTAAAATGAATTTTCTCCCATGAGGCCATTTAAGTATATTATATTTAAAGCCACGTGTTGAAAACACATCCAGCTTCAGTTTCTTATTAATGCAAATTTACATTTGCAAATATTTTCAATACTGTAAGTTGAAATCATAGTTATTTGTCCATGGAATGATCAAACACCTCTATAATTAAATGGAGTGAACATTTTCTTAAAAATTTGTACTCACTGAAATAAAGGAATATATTTAAAATGTGTGAAGCTATGTTAGAAATTATTGGACTTAAACTCAGCTGTGCAGTTTGGTTTGGGATGTTGTTCACTCTTGTGACCTGCCAGAAGAATCTTGAGTCATGGGTAGTCACTGCTGTTCAGCCTTGTCCTAAGACAATTAATATGTATAGGCTGAAGACAAGCTCAGTGCCATGCAGAGAAACCACTTACCTGAGCCCTTCCTTGATCAGCCAGATGATTGTGAACATGAGCATCCATGAACATGAAAACAAATATTTACTGTTATCAGTCACTGAGTTGTGTATTTAGCCAGTTACCAATCATTATGCATAAAAGCTCCCTGATACATTATTTACACCTCTACCTATATATACACACATGTATTTTTTCTTAAATTGGTGGTATAAATGTGAATATTTAGTAATCAAATTATAAAGTTATTAAAAGAAAATTAATGACAAAATTAAAACTAATATTTCAATAAAAAATTAAAATTTACCTTATTTGTGGAAAAATATGCATAAATGTATGTAAGATATGTATAAATAAATATATACTTATTTGTTAAAATGGCTACATATATATAGTATTTATGTTTAATTGTGTTTCTTCTATTATATATGCAATATAAGCCTATTTGTAAAATTATTATCTACATTGAATACATTTAAATAATTTTTGTTACATTCCATAAAAAATTGTATTCTGGACCACAAATAGTTCATACTCTTGCTACAGAAAATTTATTGGTAGCCTTTATTTTTAAAACTCTACCAAATGGTTGTCCTTACATGAAAATATTTTTCCAACCCAGTAGAGCTCCAAGGGTAGGACTAGAAGAAATTTTGACTAACGTTGAATATTAACCATTGCATCCTGTGAAAATCTCCATTATGTTCATGCCCACAATGATGATATGCCAGATAGAGTCCTCACAACAATAGATGCTGGATGGAGTCACATCAGTGCCATTGTCAAGGAAGCCCTGGAAATGTAAAAATCCTAACCGTGGGTAAACTGTAAGGTTACATCTGATGATCCCATTGCAAAGAGAAGAGGATTTTTATAATATTGGCCTTTGGTTTTAACAGATCATCAGGTCTTAAAAGAAACACAACAGGATGATTGCAGACAAAGCCATTCTGGAAGAGCTATGATGAGATGTTTCAAAAATGAGCCACAATCCAAAAAAATGCTTTCCAAGTGAGTATTAATCAAAATGCCATTAATGAGCAGGGGGCTTTTAATAATGAGGATGATTCAACACATGGACTTCAGTCAGTCACCTTTCCCAGCTTTCCCAGGGAGTATCATGAACCAATGTTATGGAGGTCTCTGGGGGGCTCAATAATATGACTTTCAACTAACTGAGACCTACAGGGCTACCGGCTTTTCTGAACATCTAATTTGTCAAGAAGAACCCCTAACATTGTATGATACATCAGGGCTCAGACTAACAGCTGGTATTAGGTGATACTAGTGGACCTCATGTAACATAAGGAAAGCACTGGTTATTTTCCTATATATGAATTTGCCATTCTTATCGGTTATGTTTCTGCATAAAATATTATTTGAGGATTTTCCAAGTGCTTTCATCAGAATCAGGAAATTCTTCCATAAAATGGCTTTGGATCAAGCAAGTTATTTACCTCAAAAAAGAAGAGCGAAGTGTAGCTTATGATCTTGTCTTGTGCACAGGTGCAACTTTCCCTATAGACAGGGAAAAACCTATTATTAGTCAAGCAAAGCTGTCACACAAACCCTTGTGCTGTTGAATTACTATACGATCAGAAGTGGTGGAGGCTCTGAAACATTAACCGTGATGGGTGCTTTTACTCCCTTAAACAGAATATATATATCTTGAAAATGAGCTGTAGACTTACCATTGTTAACGCCAACTGAACAGCTTGAAATACTCTATTTCTGTTTTCTCAGGGCTGTGGTTTTCTGGTTGATGGTTCTTTTTTTTTTTTAAGACGGTCTCTCACTCTGCTGCCAGGCTGGAGTGCAATGGCGCCATCTCGGCTTCACTGTAACCTCTGCCTCCCAGGTTTAAGCTATTCTCCTGCCTCAGCCTCCCGAGTAGCTGGGACTACAGGGGGTACACCACCTGTAGCCCAGCTAATTTTTGTATTTTTACTACAAACGGGGTTTCAACATGTGGGCCAGGAATGGTCTTGATCTCTTGACCTCGTGATCTGCCTGCCTCTGCCTCCCAAAGTGCTGGGATTACAGGCATGAGCCACCACGCCTGGCCTGGTTGATGATTCTTAATCCAAAGAGTTGACATGACAATTATCCCAAGAAATTGGAAGAAATGATATAAGCATGTGACCATTTAGACTTAAGACAATACTGGATAAGTTGTCAACACAGGGTGTTAGTTTGTTTGCTGGGGCCATAGGTCTAGTTCATATAAAGCAAGAGCAAATGGAATTGATTTTACATATCTTAGAGAGGAAGTACAGAAAATATGCACCCTAGGGGACCTTCTGGAATGTTTCTATTTATTGCCATTTCCACTGGTAAAACTCAGAGAAGACGTCAACAGTCATCAGGTAGAAGTTCTAGGGATCACAGTCATGTGAAGCATTACTTGCACTTGGATCGCCAGTGAGGCAAAGGGAAGATGAAACGCATAGTGGGATATGGAGGTGGAAACATTCATGGTCAGCTTAAACGTGGAAAAGTGTATTTATTTTTTCTCTTTAGATTTATCACTGAATCAGTTGGATCTGAGAAAAGCGATTATGACTGGTTAGGTAGAAAGGTGTTTATTATCATGAATTAAATGGATTGAAAACATTTGGAGAAACCAGTGGCAGCTTAGGGATCTCCAAGTACTCCCTTTGCTATTCCCTCACCCTGCCCACCCCGTGTTTTCCACAGTGAAGGAAGATACTCTCATTTTGATAGAAACATGGCAAGTGAAGATACTGTGCCCACAAGACTGTGCTGCCTGGCTGTGACCCAGACCAGGAAATTGAGTACATTTGAGTGAGATCAGGCACTTCCCCTCCCTCATCTCAATCCAAAAGCACTCTGTAGTAACACATCTGATGGGCATTCTTCACCACCTATGGGACTTAGGAAGCCAAGGACATGAGGAATAGCCTTTCCAGACTCTACCATAGAGAAATTATTGCCAGAAACTAGAGAATAAAATAAATACGGAAGAAGCTGGTGACAATAACGAAATGAGCCATTCATATATGTATGTTAAATAATTTAGTCTTTTCAATACACCCTTTCTTTAAAAAAATCAAAGTGCTATTTTTAGCCACCTTTATAATATAGACCACATATTAAATAATATGTACACAGATTAATGGCTCATGAGAGAAGATCATTTTTTCCTGGATGGTGTTGGGCTGAACAGATTGGAGATTCCTCACATTTTGGGGAGCACAGTGCTACATTGGTAGCATGATGTTCTTTGTAAAGAAAATATTTATGTTAGATTGTAGCCTGTTGTGGTTGATACTAGTAATGCCTGGAAATTCAAGTGTAGAAAGATGTGTACTTATGATAGAAAGCCACAGGATGGACTTGGGCAGAAATAAACCCTGCAGCCTTGAAAACAGATGAATCTATGTGAGACTGACATGAAGATGTAATCAACACAGGCAGGTATGCAGAGAAAGGGGTCAGTTTTCTAGTAGTTGATAGCAGAGCGGCTGTCCTTCTGGGGGCAGTAGTGAGAAGAGCTGCTCTCTTTTCTGCAGGAGACAGCTTGAATGTGGAGTCTAAGGCAGCAGGAGCTCCTCCCCAGCCTGCACCAGCAGTGCCATTCTTGGAATTGTTCTAGAGGCTTTGCCAGGAGCATGTTCCTTAAGACTTTTCAACAATTTGCAAGGAATTTAATATCCCTAGTAAATCCCTTTATGCTTCACGAATTTGACATTTGCAACAGGGAATATACACAATCCACAGTGACATCATTCACTGCCTCCTGTTTTTCTTGCTAAATATAATGCTTTTCAGGTGGACCTGCCAGAGGAAGCCAATGTGAACAACAATCCATGTCACCAAAAATGCAAGACAAATAAGCTCGGGAAAGTCACTGGGTTCTCACATAGCTGCACTGTCCCCTGGTACAAAATGGGAGAGTGTAAAACTCTTAGCTCCACCATCAGAGAGATGGTGGAGTGTGACCTTCTCAGTATAGTAAGTCAGTATGTATAGACATTTAAATACTAACACCTTTAACACCAAAATACAGGCAAAGGTAGAAAAGAAGATAAATTGGACTTCATAAAAATTTAAAATGGGCATCAAAAGACATAATCAACACAGTGAAAATGCAACATGTGGAACAGAAAAAAATATTTTTAAATCATATCTGATAAGGGGTTAATAATATCTACTATACAAAAATAATTTCTACATGTCAACAGTAAAAATAAAATAACTGATTAAAAGTGAGAAAAGTACATGAATAGACATTTCCCTAAAGAAGATTCTTTAGAGATAATTAGATAACTAGAATAAGAAAAGATGCTCAATGTTATTAATCCTTAGAAAAATAAAAACAAACCCCACTTTGCACATATTAGGATTTTTTTCCAACAGAAAATGACCAGTCTTGGTGAGAATTTAGGGAACTGGAACTCCTGTGGACACTGTCTTGGTGATGTAAATGGCCCACCTGCTGTGGGAAACAAGATGGCAATTCCTCAAAGAAATAAAAATAGAAATACTATATAACTCAGCAATTACACTTTTGGACACATACCCAAGTAATTGAAGATATTAACTTGAGGACGTATTTGTATACCCACATTCAGAACCGAATTGTTCATAGTAGCCAAAAGGTAGAAGCAACTCAAATGTTCACAAAGGAAGGAATTGGTAATCCATATGTGGTATATACATACAAAAGCACATTACTGAGGGAAATTCTGACACACGCTACAACATGGATAAAACTAGAGGACACTACACTAAGTGAAATAACCCAGTCTCAAAAATACCGAGTTATGATTTCACTTTGGTATTTGCAGAAAAGTTTCCATTTAGTCATGAATCAACCCAGTCTCCTTCCCTTTCTTGCTAGTAGTTTTCAGGAATAACTGTAGAATGTTCTGGAAATGTAGCATTCTGAGCTAGAACAAGATTGGCCAAAATATCCTGGGCTCTGTTTCTGTCCCTACTACAAAGAGGAATTCCCTCAACACTCTAGCCCAGTGTGTCATGTGATTCTAAGACATAAAACCCAGGGTGGACTGCATTCCAGGGTCCCTCAGCTGCAGTCCTTGTTGGGTATGTATGGTCTAGAGTCAATCAGGCCCTGACAGCTTTGTGCTCTCTCATGCTGACTCTCTGTAAGTAGTAATCCACTTCATGTAACTGGTTGTGCATGGGTGTTCTGTCTCACTAGATTTGGGTAAGTTGGCAACCAGTGCACAGCAAACCTTCTTGGCAAAATTGGTGCAGTGAGAAGGTTTGATTTGAGAGAACTATGGCTTATGGTGAAGTTGGAGGAACAATACTCTCCAGTACCTGGCCCAGGACAGAGATATCAGCCTGGAGATGCAAGGGCTGGACATGCAGATGGATGTTTAATGAGGAGGGAGGATAAACAGGACATTTGTCCTCCTCCCATTAATATGGATCAGCTGGCTGACTGAATTGAGACATAGAAAAAAGAATGTGGAAATAGGAATGGGGTACACAATTTTCTAGTTGTTAGACAGTTGCATGATTGCTCATTCCTGAGGCAAGAGAGCTCAAGACATGGGTAATCAGATGGACCCTGAGTCACCCAAGATGACACAAGAAAGATAATCTCAATGGTCCCTGAAGCATCTGATAAGGAACCAAAATGAACAACAATGGCCATCACAGAAAAGGAGGCTCACTCTCTATAAAAGAGACATGGAAAAACACGAGGGAAGTCTTATGCAGCCTGGTCGGTGTGTTTGTTTGGTTAAGCCACATTGCAGACCCAAATGTCTGTCTGAATGGCACAGGTAGGAACAGGGCCAAGGTCTCCACCAGAGGCTACCAGCCCTATATTCCTCTCAAGATAAAAGGTGAAAAAAAAAAAAAAGAATTCAGACTATTCTGGGATTTTTGTATGCTGCAATCCACCTGACAATATTACCAGGTCCTCCCTGGAAAAAAATAAACTGAAGACATCAGAAGGTGTCAAGACAAATGAGGACCCCATGGTGAGTATGTGCTTGTGTGCTGATCTGCATGTGGACCACACCCTTTGGGCTATGTTGGGTGCTGGTGACCATGGTTCTCACTGCAGAGTGCAATAGAGGTACTGACATTTTGCTGCTGTGCCACAAAACATCACTGCTGCCTGAGGGGCTATCCGCACTCATAGCTAAGTATTCAAGACACGACAGTGGGGCATATCCACTCCTGCCTGCCACCTAAGCTTCCCGTGTCCCAGAGTGTTGTTCACAAAGCAGGACTGCATATTCAGTGAAGATCGGAACACTACCTAGTAAATTTAATAGTTGCTACAAAAAGATTAAAATGTCACAAAGCCTGGTGTCACAATGGAACAACCCAGTTTGGCAGACCAATGATGGATTGTTGAAGGCTGAATGCCAAGGCCACCTGAAAAAGAAACCTAGGAGGTATCCCAGGTATATTTAATCATTGCTGGTCCTGGTGGCGTCCACTAATAAGATGGAGACCCAGAAGCTAGTAGGTATTTTGGGGTACTGGGGACAGTAGAAACCTTACCTGGGTGTTCTTTTGGTCATGTTAGTCAAAATCACCCTTGGAATCTGTTCAACAAGGCATGACTGAGGCACTTCTTTAAGACCTTCAGAGGCTGCTTGCTCAATGGAAATCCAGGTGTCCACTATTTCTATATATGCTGACTGGAGCCTGTGGCAACAGAAGCCACCAGTTGTGCCTCTTTTGAATGGCAACTTCTTGCTGTAGGAAACTGATAGGGGCTGATTATCTCATAGCTAGAGCATCAGGGATGACGCTGCTACCTTAACTACCCATTCTCACTTTGGTGCCTACAAACACAATCAATAAAACTGGACAGGCCCAACAGATCCAAATTATTAAATGGAACTGGTACAGTCAGAATTCGCCCTAACCCAGTTCCCACAGGATCCATGTGCAAATGGATGAATGCCCATAAACAAATAGCAAGCTTCCTAGAAGGGAACAAATGACCCATAGGGGACAATTTTGTTTTTCCTTTGGCCACAATGAGCCAACGATTCAGAGACATGCCTATGTCAGTATGGCATGGGGCCCTGATGATTGTACAAAATACATGCCAGTGGGTCCACTGGGTGAGGCCACCATCCAGCCAGGGGATGGCATCTTTTGACTGACACTGAACATGGACATTCTGCCCAGTGGGCCAAACTTCATGCAATGATAGTAGCCATGCAGGCTGCCCCCAACACTATATTTTGCTCCATTTCCACTAAATCATGGGCCATTGCCAACAACCCAGCCATCTGGTCAGGAAAATAGCAACTGAGTGGCAGAACTATTAAAGGATCCCCTGTGTAGGGAAAAGGACTATGGCCATAGCTTGCTTCCTGGACAGCTAAATGTATGTCACTCAGTTAGATGCTGGGGCTACCATGGTGACCTTTGAAAGGAATTTATGTCATGTTTTTGGATACCCCATGAGACTTCACTCTGACCAAGAAACAACCGCCCAATCCGCATGACAATGGGCACATTCTTGAGGAACCCAACGGAGACTTTCCACGCAATTACCAACACCCAATACTACCTGCTGTGCCTGGATAAACACCTCGGGTATTCTAGAAATACAAGTAGAGGTGATCCTAAAGCAGGCCCACTGGCTGCAGAGAATAGGGCATCTGAAAGATCCCCCTTTCACTTCTTAACATCTTAGTCACTGCTTTGGGGAGTCTTACCCTCCTGCCAGTGTGTGTGTGAAAGATTACGTAGGTGCCGAGGAAAAGACTGCAGGCAAAACTGTTTCAGTAGAATAAAGAAAATAGTTAGAATAAGAATAGTCATAACACAAATTAGATATAGAGATGATCATGGACAATTATCAATCACTATTATAAACATTATTAATCATTAGCTTTTAATATTACTCTTTGTCGCATTACTAATATAACCTAGGAATAACCTAAGAGTATAGTGTCAGGTACTGAAGGGACATTGCTAGAAGTGACCTAGAAGGCAAGAGGTGAGCCCTCTGTCACACCTGCATAAAGGCCACTTGAGGGCTCCTTGGTCAAGCAGTAATGCCAGTGTCTAGGAAGACACCCTTTACTTAGCAGACCGCGAAAGGGAGTCTCCTTTCCTTGGAGGAGTCAGGGAACACTCTGCTCCCCCAGCTTCTTGTGGAAGGCTGGATATTATCCAGGCCTGCCCACAGTCATCCGGAAGCCTAAACCATTCCCTGTGGTGCTGTGCCTCAATGGTCACACTCTTTGTCCACATTCATGTTCCTCCCATACTCCGGGTTCCTCTTTGACGTTCGTAGTAGGTAGCGGTAGAAGAAATACTGAAAGTCTTAAAGTCTTTGATCTTTCTTATAAGTGCGTAGAAGAAAATGCTGACGTATGCTGTCTTCTCTCTCTCTGCTTCGGCTACCTAAAAGGGAAGGGCCCCCTGTCCTATGATCACGTGACTTGCTTCACCTTATCAATCACTTGGAAGATCCACCCTCCTTACCCTGCCCCCCTTGTCTTGTATGTAATAAATATTAGTGTGCCCAGCCGTCCAGAGCCACTACCAGTCTCCACGTCTTGATGGTAGTGGTCCCCCAGGCCAAGCTGCTTTCTCTTTATCTCTTTGTCTTGTGTCTTTCTTTATTACAATCTCTCATCTCTGCACATGGGGAGAACCCCCACTAAGCCCCACAGGGCTGGACCCTACACCAGTGGTACTAGCTTTTCGTGGCCCAGTGAAATGTACTCTCACTATGGCTTCATAATCTGCATTGAAGTTGTGTTAGTCAAGGTGCTTCATCAATCTGAAAAGATAAACTTCTGCCTCCAGTTCAAGGGAAGTTGGTGGGCATATGAAATATGCTAGCTTTGCTAAGGGGGATGTCTAGGTGGTGGGGTAATTGCAAAACAGTTCTCCAATGACCCTGGACTGACTTAGTTCTCTCCACTTTCTTGCTTATTTTATGAGTTCTCAAGAATAATTGTAGAATTTGCTGGAATCGTAACATCCTGAGATGGAGAGGAACTGAGCAGAACAACCTACCTGTGCTCTATACCAGTTTCCCATAGAATAGGATGTCCGTTAGCACTTTAGCCCTGTGTGTCTTCTTAGCTCAGGATATAAAACCCTGAGTGGCTGCTTTCCTGGATTCCTGAGCTGTGGTGCATGTGGGGTACACATAGTCAACTCCATCAGCTCCACATGGCTTTCCTGTGCCTTGAGGGACTGACCCATAATAAGTCCAAGACTTTTGTGGTGTTCCCTTGCTGCTTATCTGTAAATAATAAACCCATTTCATGTAACTTGCTGTGTGGGGGTGTTGTGTTCCCCACACTCAAGTATGTTGGTAACCAGTGCAGAGTGAACCTGCTTCAAATATGTCAATGACATAGAGACAGAACTGGAATGGAGGTTGCTGGCGGTAGGGATAGAGGAAATGGGGGGGAGTATTGTTTAAAGGATATAGATATTAATTTTATTCAGATGAAAATGGTTCTGGATTTAGTATCAGTAATAATAGCAGAGCAATGTGAATATATTTAATGGCATTGCACTACACTCTTAGAAATGGTTAAGATAGACAATATCATGTTCTCTGTATTACTATAGCTAAAAAATTGACATCTTTATTATAGTATTGTTAGCTCAGAAGACATTGCTTTGTTTTCTAATTTTCTGAGCAAATGTTCATACATAATCACTTTGTGATGCTATTTTTCACACATTTTAACAAATTGTGTGTGTGTGTGTGTGTGTGTGTGTGTGTTTTGTAGACATGGGGTCTCCCTGTGTTGCCCAGGCTGGCATCAAATTCTTGGCCTTACATGGTCCTTTCTCCTCGGTCTCTCAAAGTGCCCAGGGGCTACTAAGTGTCTGAAATCTTCTCAGGGGAACAGGCTGGGGGACATCTCTAAATTCGCATCCCCTCTGCCTGAAATCCCCTTCCCACCTCCTCTATGGGCACCTCTAGTGTATCTTGTGGGCATCACTGCCTGGAGCATGTCAGGATGTTTTCTCCCATCTCCTACTCTGAATTCATGATGCAAATTCATCCTCACTTCAGACACGGGCTGGCCACGCCTTGTGTCTCTTACCTGCATGCCCCGGCACGTTGCTGAACCCATAGTTCTGACCCCACTCTATGAATCTTTGTGGAAGGGTCATGGTTGGCAAGTTGTGGTTATTGGAGACCAGAAAGTAAAATGGCAACTATTGAGAAGCTTGTGCATGGGGCAGACATAGGCCATTGTCAACAGAGTCCCAGCAGCTGGTGAGCCATGAAAGCTGGGCAGAGATCCCACATCACCCCAGTCAGAGGGGAAGCTGGGAATGAGCCATGGAGGGGCTTCATCCTGTGACAATGCAGCCTCTGAGCCATATATGCTGCTTTGTTTGACAGAAATGACCAGAGGAGGACTTGTCTATGCTGAGCTCTGGAAACAAAACGTCCCTCCATTCAGGGCCCAGACCCACTATCCATTTCCTGGGCATCTGCTGTTCTGTGATTCCGTAGACCCCCCTCAGGTCACTCATGATCCTCAGCAACGGGCAGTTCACTTCTCTCAGCCCAGGGGGAACATGGAAGAGGGTACTGAGCTTTATGACCCTCAGGTCCTGGAGTGAGGAGGGCCATGAGGTGGTGCACCCAGTGCTCATTTTCAATGTTCATGTTAAATTTATTTAAGTTTAAAACTATACCTTATACTAGCAACCAAAGTTATATCTCTTTATATATAAACATGCATCACATATTTATTCATAAATACATAGTATATACAAATATATAAATACAACTTATTTCTTAAATATGTATTCAATATGTAAAGTTCACAATAGAAATTCATATTACAGATACATATAATTTTATGCTTATTTGTGTAGCGTGTGTTTCTTTTCTGACCAAGCAGAATAGAGTCTGGCTGAGTAAAGACTTTAAGGACATTTGCTGACTGTCCGTTTTTGGCTCCAGCAGGGTCCCAGTCATTCAGCACCAGGGAGGGCAGAGCTGACAGCAGCCAGCCCAGGATCCCAGCACCAGCCCTAAGGTCTGGGTCTCTGAGACTTTTACTCTTGCCAGGCTGGGGGATATATGCTTAATGCAGCTCCCCTGAATTTGTGAGCAGTTTCCTTCCCTGAAGCCCTGCCAGGCAGCCCTGTGGCCAGGGCCTGTGGTTCCTCCCAGATTCTCAGCCCTGTGGCTCAGGAGAGCAGCTGCTTCCTCCACAGCCCAGGGCCAGTGCCTGGCATCTCTCAGGCACTGCCAGCCTGACCTTAGCCCTGGGCTAAGGACCCTATTCCAAATGTCTCCTCATTTATTGCAGTATCTGAAAGTCTGTCTTGTTCTTAAACTCAAAGTCCACATTTCCACAATTGCTAAAGCTAGCATTTGCCATCTGAAAATTTAGAAATGTGAATTCATTGTCACTCTCAGAAACTGCCCTCTTCCAACTCTACCAGACAGAGTTGCCCATATGTTCTCTTCTCTCCACACAACTTTACTTAGAATTATAGTGAAATGTAACATGTGGTAAAGCTCTTACCTCCTGTACAGAAACCATCCTCTTCTCCTTTGGTGTCTAGGGCATGAGCTCTAGCCTGCTGGGCATGGTGAGGACAGTGAGCCTCTCCCAGCCCGGGACAGGAGCAGGGATTAAGGCACATGTGATTAGCTCCACAATACAATGTCAGGGGAGTAAAGGAGGGACAGGAACTCTGGGTAGAATTTGATCCTTCATAAGAAGATGGAAGGTGAAGAGCTTTGCTTCACCTTCTAAAATCAATGACTTTATTTTAGATTTGGAAGCAGGGACACATGTTTCATTGCTCTGACACCTTCCACATCTCCTCTTTCTCTTACAATATCCCTGTCCCAGTCTGTCCCTCTCAGATTGTGTCCTGAAAATCTAATTTTCCCTCCTAATATGAAAACAAACTAACAAAACCCTCTTCCTCCTATCATGTGCTGTGAGTTCTGACCCCTAAACTCTGTGATACCCAGATCGTATAAGAGATAATCATGGGATTTTCCAAAGAGAATTTCTAGCTAAAAAGAATTTTTGTACGAGCTCTTCTCTCAGAAAAAATTTTCTCTGTCTCTTGTCTGACACCAGATAACAAGGTGGAAATATTTCCAAGAACAGAGGACAAGCATGCTCTCAGTGAGCTGAAAGACATCTCTTCCCCTTGCATTAGTTTCCAACGCTGCTGTTTAAATTGCCACAGTCTTATTGGCTTCACACAACATAAATGTATTACCCTGTAGTTCTGGAGGTCAGAAGTCTCACTGAGCTAATGCTAAGGTGTCAGTGGGGCTGTAATCCTTCTGGAGGCTCCAGAGGAGAGAACTGGATTCTCTGCTTCTTATCTTCAATGTGCTCCCATATTTCTGGTTCCATGGCCCCTTCCTTCCTCAAACAACATCCGTCCCCATTGTCCCAGCTCCTCTCTGACTGCAATCCTCCTCCTCTATTTTAAGGACCTTTGTGATTGTATTGATTTCATCTGGATAACCAGGAAGCTTATTCTCAAAGTCCTTAACTTACATCTATCAAGGTCATTTTTTGCTATCTATCATAAGGTAGAATCCTTATGATATGGCTCCAATGACTGGAGGAACACCAGGGTTCTTGCTGTTTCACACTGCTTTGGATAAAATGCCACAGAAAGATGTGGAGTGGTTTTAAGGAGAGAAAAGTTTAATATGTAAGAAGGAAGGAAGAATAAAACAGCTAAACAGCTACCCTGTACAAAGACAGAGGGACAGGGGATTCCAACAAAGAGAAAACTCCATCTGTGGTGGAAAAGTGGCTGCTTATATGAGGAGAATGAAGGAGGTGGTGTCTGATTTGCAAAGGGCTCAAGGGATTGGTTTGACCAGGCATGTTATTCACATAGCCTGAGCAAAAACTGGCCCTCCCACCCTAGCCTTTCAATATGCACATGTAGGGCATCATAATGTTCTACACACATGGGGATATGTGGGGGCAGCCATGTTGCCAGGCACATGTAGGGGCAAGGAAGAAGAAGGTAGGAATAGCCATGTTAGGGTGGACCCAGTTTCTAATGGCCTTCATTTGCATATCAAATCTTGCCAGCCTGGCTCTAAGAGCCGGAGCTTTCCTATTAGACAAGAAACATGTCTGGAGTTGCTTTAAAAGAAACAAAATCTTACCAAGGATGCCTTTTCCTCTCTATCTGCCTAAAATAATTTCTTAATAACTCCTATAAAACTTGGGTTCCAGAGACAAGGACCTGGATATCTTTTGGGGTGGGGACATTATTCATTCCACCAAAAATTAATATATTCTCCAAAATTGTCCTTCTTTAAAGTAAAATTTAAAAAATAACAAAGCATTTTTATGAAGCAAGAGGGCGGTACAAAATCTGAGACTTAGAGTCTGACTTATAAATCCTCTAACTTGTGAGTTTTAGCTGTTGGGGTATGCTCACTCCACTCCTTTATCTCACTCCTTTATCTGCTTAAAAGCAGCTTCTCCAGAAGGAAACTGATTGTCAAGAAAATTCTTCCTGGGAAATTTTATATCAGGGAAGATTAACACAAAATAGGAATCAAAAATAGAAGAGATTAGAAGTTGATGCTTTATCCAGACAGGCTATTACCTGTTCTTTTGAGGATGCACTTCTATCCTCATCTATTCTCTCCAGGTTGCCTACACTTCCCAATTACCTCTTCGCTAGAAAGGAAGTATGAACAACTGGATCTCATTGAGTTATCTGAGTAATCACACCGCTATGATATCCCACTGCACTTTAAGTGAATTTTGCTTGCCTTTTCTCTTATTAGTCTTTCTTTTGTCAGTTCATTTTCAGCAAACATTTAGAGGACAAATGGAGCTTTCTTCCCTTCTCCCAATATAAGCAAGTTCCCTTAAAATTCAGGTGGCTTACAAAGCAGCAGGAAGGTTTGTGCATGGGCTACAGCACTGTGATTTGTCTCCCCTAGTCAGGCATCAGTAAAATTTTGTGGAGTCCTAGGCTGCAGCCCACTGATGCTGATGTAGTTGGATCCACGTCCCCTGCTACTAAGCCAGGCTGGGACATTTTTGGCACAGTAGAGATGTGAGATATAATGACTGCAAATCCATGTCCAGTTTCATCTGGATCCAGCTGATTTCTCCATGTAAGTTGGCAATTGCTTGATAAGGGATTGTCTCTTTCCTAAAGATGTTAACAGGGAGGATGGTGTCTGGGTCAGGATGATGTCCCTGATAAAACGTAAAAGAAGAAAGTGGCATTGTTGGTGCATGACAGGGACATGCTCCATGCAGTGGTCACCCTCAATAAGAGAGAAGAACTTTGGAAAGTAATACTCAATGACAGAAAAGAAGGTAGACAATGAAGGTGCCCAAAACAAGAATAAGGTGAAGTGAATTTAGTCTCTGGGTATTAAAGAGACCTGTAGCTCTTGATAATGGTGGATGTGTGAGTGCTGCATGCATTGAGGAAACTCGGTATCATCTCTCTGTATCTGTAGTAAATTGCTTGATCTTATAGTGGTAAGAACAATGGCATAACACCATTACCTAATACTTACAAATATGTATAGCATCATGTCAATAAATTTTATTTTTAATATTTTTAGAAAGGAACAATGTTAAAACTCACAGAAATGTTGAAGTATAGGACAAAGTACCTCCTTCCCTAACCCGAATCATATGAGAGTCTTTTGAAGTCCTGAGAATCATACTGTTTAACATTTTACTATGTATTTCCTACAAACAAGATATTCCAAATAATCCCCATGTGCCAATGAAATACATTACTCCGTCGACTCCTGAGGAATATTTCAAATTTTCAAAAAAATACATAAAAAATGTTTCTCATAACAAACTACTCTCCAGTAGAAACACATTCACCACAGACAAATTTGTGCTACCCTGGTCTTTCCTGGGACACCTGGGGATACTGAGCTGGTGCTGAGTTACTGAGATGAGCCAGCCCTGCAGCTGTGCCCAGTCAGCCCCATCCCCTGCTCATTTGCATGTTCCCAGGGCACAACCTCCTGCCCTGAAGACTTATTAATAGGCTGGACACACTTCATGCAGGAGTCAGACCCTGTCAGGACACAGCATAGACATGAGGGTCCCCGCTCAGCTCCTGGGGCTCCTGCTGCTCTGGCTCCCAGGTAAGGAAGGAGAACACTAGGAATTTACTCAGCCCAGTGTGCTTGGTACAGCCTGGCCCTTCAGGGAAGTTCTCTTACAACATGATTAATTGTATGGACATTTGTTTTTATGTTTCCAATCTCAGGTGCCAGATGTGCCATCCGGATGACCCAGTCTCCATCCTCATTCTCTGCATCTACAGGAGACAGAGTCACCATCACTTGTCGGGCGAGTCAGGGTATTAGCAGTTATTTAGCCTGGTATCAGCAAAAACCAGGGAAAGCCCCTAAGCTCCTGATCTATGCTGCATCCACTTTGCAAAGTGGGGTCCCATCAAGGTTCAGCGGCAGTGGATCTGGGACAGATTTCACTCTCACCATCAGCTGCCTGCAGTCTGAAGATTTTGCAACTTATTACTGTCAACAGTATTATAGTTACCCTCCCACAGTGTTACACACCCAAACAAAAACCCCCAGGGAAGCAAATGTGTGAGGCTGGGCTGCCCCAGCTGCTCCTCCTGATGCCTCCATCGCCTGAGAGTGTTCCTCAGATGCAACCACACTCTGATGGTGTTGGTAGAGGGGGACCTGAAATCACCTCTGCAACCCAATTCCTTTTTCTTTGTAAGCCCCAGCTGCACAGACATAACAATGCCTCTCCTGATTTAATAAAGGCAGAGATCTTGACACCTAAGGAGTCTAGTTTAGGGCTTTGGTTGGAATTCAAATAACAGAGAAGAAACCACTATAGATATTCTAAGCAGGAATTGTCTTAATACAGAAAATTAGAGTCTAAACTACTGAAGTCTAAATAAAATGTAGAGCGGAATCTCTAAATTTCATGTTTTATTTGCAAAGAAATGTTTGCCAAATTGGACACACAGGAAAACTCAGTGGTCTTCAATATATTGGAAGTACGAAGAGAAGGTTAGTGTTTTATGAAAAAGGGAAAATATTACCTTTTGCATTTTCAGAAAGTTCACTGGCACTAGTAAGGGTTGGGAGCTGGCAAGCTCAGACTGGTAAGCAGTGGTGGACAAAGTGAATTAGGATTCACTAATTATATCAATTATATCAAGTTGTCTCAGAAGTTGCAGTTAAATGTGAATTCAGGTTACAAGAAGCCAAAGCAGTGAAGGTTGCAGAGAATTTTCTTACTAAAATGCCAAGGATTCATTGTACACCCTGCTGCTCACCACGCAGAAAGCCAATCTCTAAAACAAGTATTGCCAAGAAACAGGCTTTAATCAGGTACTGCAGCCGAGGAGATGGGACACCATTTGCGAATGTATCTCCCTGACCAACTAAAATTAAGACTTTATATAACAGGGACAAAATGTGGGAAAACAGGAATTTGGGAGGGGTAAGGAAGATAATTTGGTCAACAGGAAGCAAGAGGTCAGTTATGCAATCATAATGGGTGAAGGTTCTGATGTCTCAGTGTCCGGATTCAGTGATATGTATGTTTCAGCTCCTTGATAGTATCTACGAGGCCTGATGGTTGGTTTACTGAAAAAAGAACTCAGATAAGACAAATGTAACTATCTTGAGTTTTAAGACTGGGGGAGTCAATTTCTGTTTATTCAAAAAACCATAAACCTTAGTTCCATGGGATAACAGGGCCTATTTCAATTGCATTCTAGAAACAATATTTTACACCCTGAGTGCCTTTCCCCACTGGGTGTCTTGGCTCTTTTGGGTATAACAAGAATGAACCGATGCCTATGATTAACGTTCAGACTACAACCTTTCAAAGCCAAGGATATAGTAGTCAGGAAAGTTGATATTAGAAGCAGGATTGAATGGCGCTCACTCAGAAAACAGAATGCATCTGCCCTTGAAGTATGGGCTATCTAACCATGTGGTCCTCAGTCCTGTCTGGAAGCTTAGGGGTGGGAGTGTTGATGTTCTCAGCTTCCTGCAGCATCCTTCCAGGTGTTTCTCCAGCCCTCACCTCTGTTCCTGTGTCTGCCTTAGGTACCAATGGAGAATATTGAGTCATCCTTTTCTGATTTCCAAATCTTATGGGAGGACCTCTTGTTGGGCAACTTTATAGGACACAAGAGAGGCAAAAAGGGATATTTACATAAGTTAAAATGATTTTCCCCCACTGAGGCCATTAAAATATATATATACTTAAAGCTACATGTTGAAAACACATCCAGCTTTATTTTCTTATTAATGCAAATTTACATTTGCAAGTATTTTCAGAATTGTAAAAGTTGAAAGCATAATTATTTGTCCATGGAATGATCAAATACCTCTATAATTAAATGGAGTAAACATTTTCTTCAAAATTTGTACTCATTGAAATAAAGGAATATATTTAAAATATGTGAAGCTATGTTAGAAGTTATTGGACTTAAATTCAACTGTGCAGTTTGTTTTGGGATGTTGTTCACTCCTGTGACCTGCCATAAGAATATTGTGTCATGTGTAGTCACTGCTGTTCAGCCTCGTCCTCAGACAATTCATATCTGTAGGCTGAAGATGAGCTCAGTGCCCTGCAGAGAAACCACTCAGCTGAGCCCTTTCTTGATCAGCCAGATGATTGTGAACATGAGCATCCATGAACACGAAAACAAATGTTTACTGTTATCAGCCACTGAGTTGTGGATTTAACCAGTTACCAATCAGTAATGCATAAAAGCTTCCTGATACAGTATTTACACCTCTACCTACACACACGATTTTTTCTTAAGTTGGTGGTATAAATGTGAACATTTAGTATTAAATTATGAAGTTATTAAGAGAAAATTAAAGACAAAATTAAAACTAGTATTCAATAAAAAATTAAAATTTACCTTATTTATGGAAAATGTGCATATATGTATATAAGATACATAAAAGTTACATATATTTATCTGATAAAATGTTGGCTACAAATATACATGTATAGTATTTATATTTAAGTATGTTTATTATATATGCATATTTATACAATTATTTAAATTAAATACATTTAAATAATTTTTGTTATATGCCACTAAAAAAGGGTATGCTGGCTACATATAGTTCATACTCTTGCTACAGAAAATTTATTTTAGCCTTTATTTTTAAAACTCTATGAAATGATTGTCCTTATCTAAAATATTTTTCCAACCCAGTAGAGCTCCAAGGGTAGGACTAGAGTAAATTTTGACTAATGTTGAATATTAACCATTGCATCCTATGAAAGTCTCCATTATGTTCACACCCACAGTGATGATTTGTCAAATAGAGTTCTCACAAATAGATGCTGGATGGCGTCACATCATTGCCATTGTCAAGAAATCCCTGGAAATGTAAAAATCGTAACAGTGGTTAATCTGCAAGGGTTACATCTGATGATAACATTGCAAAGAGAACAGCAATGTAATAATATTGGCTGTTGCTTTTGACAGATCATCAGCCCTTAAAAGAAATGCAACAGGATGATTGCAGACAAAGTGGTTCAGGAAGAACTATGACTAGACGTTTCAAAAATGAGCCAAAATAAAAACATGCTTTCCAAGCGAATATTAATCGAAATGCCGTTAATGAGTAGGAGGCTTTTAATAATGAGGATGATTCAACAGATGGACTTCAGTCAATCACCTTTCCCAGGTTTCCAAGGTGTCTCCTGAACCAAGGTTATGGAGGTCCCTGTGGGGACTCAATAATATGAGTTTCAACTAACTGAGACATACAGGGCTACTGGCTCTTCTGAACACCTAATTTGTCAAGAAGAATGACGTCTCTTGAACCCCTAACATTGCGCCACACATCAGGGCTCAGACTAACAGCTGGTGTCGGGTGATACTAGTAGACCTCATGTAACGTGAGGAGGGCACTGGTTATTTTCCTATATATGAATTTGCCTTCCTTTTTGGTTATATTTCTGCATAAAATATTATTTGAGGATTTTCCAAGAGCTTTCATCAGAGTCAGGAAGTTCTTCTGTAATATAGCTTTGGATCAAGCAACTTATTAACCTCAAAAAAAGTGAAGTGAAGTGTAGCTCATGCTCTTGTCATGTGCTTTCCCTATAGACAGAGAAAAACCCATTATTAGTCAAGCAAAGCTGGCACACAAACCCTTGTGCTATTGAATTGCTGTCCTGTCAGATATGGTGGAGGCTCTGAAACAGTAACTGTATGAATGGTGCTGTCACTCCCATAAACAGAATATTTATATCTTGAAAATGAGCTGTAGACTCATCATTGTTATGCCAAATGAACAGCTTGAAATACTCTATTTCTATTTATTCAGGGCTGTGGTTTTTTGGTTGACGGCTCTTAATCCAAAGAGTTGATGTGAAATTATTCCATGAAATTGGAAGAAATGATATGATAAGCATGTGACCATTTACATTTATTAAAATACTGGATAAATTGTCAAGACAGGGCATTAGCGTGTGTGCTGGGGCCATAGATAGAGTCCATAAAAGCAAGAGCAAACATAATTGATTTTACATATTTTAGAGAGGAAGTACAGAAAATATGGAACCTAGGGGACCTTCTGGAATGTTTCTATTTATTGCCATTTCCACTGGTAAAACTCAGAGAAGATTTCAACCGTCATCAGGACGAAGTTCTAGGGATCACAGTCATGTGAAGCATTCCCTGTACTTGGATCACCAGTGAGGCAAAGAGAAGATGAAACGCATAGTGGGATATGGAGGTGTAAACACCAGGGACAGCATCCTGGTCAGCTTAAACATGGAGAAGTGTAGTTATTTTTTCTCTATAGGTTTATCACTGAATCAGTTGGATCTGAGAAAAGTCATTATGACTGGTTAGGCAGAAAGGTGTTTATTATCATGAATGAAATGGATTGAAAACATTTGGGGAAACCAGAGTGGCAGCTCAGGCAACTCCAAGTACTCCTTTTGCTATTACTTGACCCTCCCCGCCCCCACCCCTATGTTTTCCACAGTCAAGAAAGATACTTTCATTTTGATAGAAACATGGCAAGTGATGATATTGTGCCCAGAGGACTGTGTTGCCTGGCTGTGACCTAGACCAAGAAAATGATCACATTTGAGTGAGTTCAGCCATTTCCCCTCCCTCATCTCAATCCAAAAGCACTCCGTAGTAACACAGCTGATGGGCATTCTTCACCACATCTGGGACTTAGGAAGCCAAGGACATGAGGAGTAGCCTTTCCAGACTCTACCATAGAGAAAGTATTGCCAGAAACTAGAGAATAAAATAAATATGAAAGAAGCTGGTGACAATAACGAAATGAGTCATGCATATATGCATGTTAAATAATTTAATCTTTTCTTTACACCCTTTTGTTAAAAGAATTCGAAGTGCTATTTTTACCAGTCTTTATAGTTTAGCCCACAAATTAATAATAAGTAGACAGATTAACGGCTCATGAGAGAAGAGCCTTTTTTCCTACATGGTGTTGGGCTGAACAGATTGGACTTTCCCCACATTCTGGGGAGCACAATGCTACGTGGGGAGCATGATGTTCTTTGTAAAGGAAATCTTTATGTGAGGTTCTAGCATGTTGCTGTTGATACTAGTAATGACTAGAAATTCGAGTGTAGAAAGATGTGTATTTATGATAGAAAGCCACAGGGTGGACTTGGGCAGAAATAGCCCCTGAATCCATGAAAACAGATGAATCTACATGAGACTGAAATGAAGATGTAATCAACACAGGCAGGTCTGCAGAGAAAGGGGTCAGGTCTCTAGTAGTTGATAGCGGAGCAGCTGTCCTTCGGGGGGCAGTAGTGAGAAGAGCTGCTCTCTTTCCTGCAGGAGACAGCTTGAATGTGGAGTCTCAGGCAGCAGGAGCTCCTCCCCAACCTGCGCCAGCAGTGCCATTCTTGGAATTGTTCCAGAGGCTTTGCCTGGAGCCTGTTGCTTAAGGCTTTTCAACAATTTCTAAGGAATTTAATATCCTCTAGTAAATCCCTTTATGCTTCACGGATTTGACATTTGTAACAGGGAATATAAACAGCTTACAGTGACATCATTCAGAGCCTCCTTTTTTCTTGCTAAATATAATGCTTTCCAGGTGGACTTGCCAGAGGAAGCTGATGTGAACAACAATCCATGTCACCAAAAATGCAAGACAAATAAGCTCAGAAAAGCCACTGGGTTCTCACCTAGCTTCACTGTCCCCTAGGACAAAATGGGAGAGTGTAACACTCTTAGCTCCACCATCAGAGAGAGAAGGTGAAGTGTGACATTCTCAGCGTAGTAAGTGAATATTTACAGACATTTAAATACTAACACCTTTAACACCAAAATACAGGCAAAAGAAGAAAAAATTAAATTGGACTACATAAAAATTTAAAATGGGCATCAAGAGATAAAACCTACACAGTGAAAATGCAACATGTGGAATAGAAGAAAATATTTGAAAATCATATCTGATAAGGGGTTAATAATATCTACTATACAAAAATAAGTTCTACATGTGAACAGTAAAAATAAAATAACTGGTTAAAAATGAGAAAAGTATATGAATAGACATTTCCCTAAAGAAGATACTTTAGAGATATTTAGATAACTAGCATAGGAAACGATGCTCAATATTATTAATCCTTAGAAAAATAAAAACAAAACCCACCTGATGCCTGTTAGAATGTTTTTTTCCAACAGAGGATGACCAGTCTTGGTGAGAATTTAGGGAACTGGAACTCCTGTGGACACTGTCGTGGTGATGTAAATGGCCCACCTGCTGTGGGAAACAAGATGGCAATTCCTCAAAGGATTAAAAATAGAAATACTATATAATTCAGCAATTCCACTTTTGGACATATACCCAAGTAATGGAAGACATTAAATTGAGGAGATATTTGTATATCCACATACAGAAGCAAATTATTCACAGTAGCTAAATGTAGAAGCAACTCAAATGTTCACAAAGGAGGGAACTGGTAATCCAAATGTGGTATATACATACTATTCCATATTATTTAGTTTTAAAAAGGGAAATTCTGACACATGCTACAACATGGATGGAACTAGAGGACATTACACTAAGTGAAATAACCCAGTCTCAAAAATACTGAGTTTTGATTTCACTGTGGTATTTGCAGAACAGTTTCCATTTAGTCATGAATCAACCCAGTCTCCTTCCTTTTCTTGATTGTAGTTTTCAGGAATAACTGTAGAATGTTCTGGAACTGTAACATTCTGAGATAGGGCATGATTGGCCAGAACAGCCTGGGTTCTGTTTCTGTCCCTACTAGAAACAGGAATTCCTTCAACACTCCAGCCCAGTGTGTCATGTGATTCTAAGACATAAAACCCAGGGTAGGCTGCATTCCAGGGTCCCTCAGCTGCAGTCCTTGTGGGGTAGGCACAGTCTAGTGTCAATCAGGCCCCGGCAGCTTTGTGCTCTCTCTGACTGACTCTCTGTAGGTAGTAATCCACTTCATGTTACTCGTTGTGCATGGGAATTGTGTCCCAGTAGATTTGGGTAAGTTGGTGACCAGTACACTGCAAACCTTGGCAAAATTGGTGCAGTGAGATAATTTGATTTGAGAGAACCATGGCTTATTGGTGAAGTTGGAGGAACAATACTCTCCAGTACCTGGCCCAGGACAGAGACATCAGCCTGGGGATGCCAGGCCTGGACATGCAGATGGATGTTTAATAAGGAGGGAGGATAAATGGGACATGGTGAGAGGCAGTGTTTGATGTGGTGGTGAGACAGCAGAAACAGTGGAGAAGCAAGACAGCAAGAGACAGCAAGAGATGGCATTTTGTGAGAAGATGGACATAGCGATCAGCAATGGGCGAGACAGCTATTGGAGAAGTGGCAAGTCAGCGATCAGTGAGAGAGGGCGAGATCGGCGCTACAGCGATTAAAGCTACATAGTTGCTAACATTGCAGAGCTGTTAACACTGGCCAAAGGCTGTTTTAAGAGCCATCATCTTTCCTGACAGGCGGTGGAGCTGAGCAGTTAGGTAAGTGGCCACAGAGCCACTGCTTCATGCAGGCCAGCCGCTCCATGCACCAGTTCACCCGTGGGAGTTCAACCCACCCAAGCTGGGGAGCCTGGAGAGATCTTCACGCAGGCCTCATGTTAGAGACTGCTTGGCACCATTTTGGCTCCTGCACACCTGTAAGTGTCCCATCTACCCACCTGCCCTATGTCAGATGGTCCAGGAAATAAGGCCTTTGGCTAAATAGTCCATTTGAAGTCCCCCATAGCACACCTGACTACATCCTCATTGATCTTTCTCTTAGTCATTTCTCCTCTAATGACATTTTATTTATCCATCAGCCATTTTATCTTATTTTCTGTCCTGATATATGTGTTTGCTTTGCAGTTTTTTCTTTGGGTCCCTACTAATTATGTTTGTGCAATTGTTTAAGGCAGGACACTTGGATGTAAGAATTCTCCTGTTCTGTTGACTCTAAGAAGCCAGAGTCACATTGTTCTATGGCCCCAACCAGGCCTTTGGGGCTCATTGTTGGCCACCCCACTGAGGCTCCAGGATTTTCTGCACTGGTCAGCCCCTGGATACTCCAGGGTTTCCTGGCATTTGGTGTGGGACATTCATAGGCTGATACTCGTGTACTCTGGGTTTTCAGCATTTAGTACTGTTGGCCACTCCCTGGAGGCTCCAGGGTTTTTAGCATTGACATTCATCCGAGGATTGTGGATTGGAGCCTCACCCTATGGAAATCTTGGTTTGCCTTTTCTTGTTTTCTGCCCTAAGGTTATCATTTTCCATAACAGCCTTGTGTTTTCCTTCTGTCACTTTATTTACACTTTTTCTTCTACACTTTACTTAATAAAAATACAGCTTTAAGGCTGAGCATGGTGGCCCATGCCTGTAATCCCAGCACTTTGGGATTACATGCCTGTAATCCCAAGGTGGGAGGATCATTTGAGGTCAGGAGTTCAAGACCAGCCTGGCAAACATAGTAAAACCTTGTCTCTACTAAAAATACAAAAATTAGCCAGGCACAGTGGCATGTACCTGTAACCCTAGCAACTCAGGAGGCTGAGGCAGGAGAATGGCTGAAACCTGGGAGGTGGAGGTTGCAGTGAACCAAGATCACGCTATTGCACTCCAGCCTGGGTGACAAAGCGAGACTCTATCTCAAAAAAAAGAAAAAAAAAAAAAAAAAAAAAAAACAAGTAAAACAAAAAATTTTGCCTGTGATACGATAATGAGTTTCTTTTAAAACTTCTGAGATTAGTGTCTTAGAGATTTAACTGTTGTATTTTGCTGCTTTCAGCTTGTTCTCCCTTTAAAAAGGCCTGGGATCATTGCTGTCTCCTTTTCCTTTTTCATCAGCTCCTGTGACGTTTTCATCTCAACACTTTGGGAGGCTGAGATGGGCGGATCACTTAGGCCAGGAGTTCGAAATCAGCCTTGCCAACATAGCAAAACCATATCTTTACTAATATTACAAAATTAGCTGGGCATGGTGGTACATGCCTGTAATCCCAGCCACTCAGGAGGCTGAGGCATGAAAATAGCTTGAAAACTGGAGGCAGAGGTTCCAGTGAGCCCAGCCAAGATTGTGCCACTGCACTCTAGCCTGGGCAACAGAGCGAGACTCCATCTCAAAAAACAACAACAACAACAACAACAACAACAAAATGATCCCCCAAGAATCAATAATAACCAGAATAAGGAGCCATTATCAGATATTCTTTATTACTCTTAATTACTGTTAGGCTTCAGGAAGCCACTAGTTGGGTACAGCTGCCCAGGATTAAACCTGTTTCTTACAAGGTCCTACAGCCACAAAAGGGGGACACCACAACCTCCATTTATAAAACAGAAAACTTAAGGTTGTTGTTTTGCAAACACATGGATTAATAACATGGTTCCGTAGGTGGACCTAGGAGCATTAATTTTTCCCTCTCTTCCAATTATAATTTTCTTGTTTAACATCCTAGTAAAGTTTATGTCTTCTAAATTTCATGTAAAGATGATACGGTCTGTCATAAGTCTTCCAACCCATTCTGTCTTCTGACCCCACAAATGAATGCATCGTGCCATTGGACCCCTTAGTTCAGGTACCAAAGATTTTTACTCCTCAAAGGCTAGGGAAGGCCTGCCCCCATAAAGTCAGCAGGAAGCACTTACAGAAAAGGGACTCTGCTCTTCTGCAGTCCCCTTAAGATTAAGGAGGAGTATCTAATCTCTGAGGGAGCAATGAGATAGGAGGTAGGTGGGACTCAACCCAGGACCAGATTGAAGACTGGCTGACACAAGGAAGAGACACTGGAAGCACCTGTCCATAACACATGCCCACCAGTGCCATATCAGTTTACCATTGCCATGGCAAAACCTGAAAGTTACTGCCCATTTTCTAGCTATTCCTGAATAACCCACTCCTTTATTAGCATGTCATTAAAAGTGGGGATAAATATGACTGCAAAACTGCCCCTACGCTACTGCTCTTGGCACAATGCCTATGTGGTAGCTCTGTTTCACAAGAACAGACACAAAGCTGTAACACTGCCACCTCAGTAAAGCTGTTTTCTTCTACCACCAGCTTACGCTGCATTCCTTCCTGAGTGTAGCCAAGAACCTGCCCTGCACCACTTTTGTCAAGTTAGTTGACATAAAATTACTCATAATATCCTCTCTTTATTTTTTTACTCCTGTAGGCTGTGTAATGACTTCTTCCTTTCCATTTATGACATTGTGTTTTGTGTCATTTTTCTTTCCCTCTTCTTTTTTTTTGAGACAGATTCTTGTTCTGTCACCCAGGCTGGAGTGCAGTGGTGCAATCTTGGCTCACTGCAACCTCCGACTCCCCAGTTCATGCCATTCTCCTGCCTCAGCCTCCCGAGTAGCTGGGACTCCACCACGCCCAGCTAATTTTTTTGTATTTTTAATAGAGATGGGGTTTCACCATGTTAGCCAGGATGGTTTTGATCTCCTGACCTCGTGGTCCACCCGCCTTGGCCTCCCAAATCTTTCCCTCTTCTTTATACACCCTTCATCAAGTAGTCACAGGTTTCAATTCAGTTCTTTCTTGGTGGTAGTATGGCTCATGAAAAAAGCTGATTCTTCTGTGTTTGAGGCCATTCACCATGTTTATATGTAATACTGTAAAAAGTCCTGTGACATAAGCCTCTGCTTCACAAACTGACCGCTGTCAAACATCATCTCCCCACCAACAGAGAATTTTTTTGTTCCTCACTAGTATAATTCACATAGGAGGAGAAATCTCAAGTTTAAAGTGTGGATTTGCACTTTACCACTTGGTGTATTCAAGAAGATGAATAATATTAATACATCAGTAGGGCCAGGCACAGTGGCTCAATCCTACAATTCCAGCACTTTGGGAGGCCGAGGCAGGCAGATCACCTGAGGTCAGGAGTTTGAGACCAGCCGGGCCAACATGGCAAAATCCCGTCTCTACTAAAAATATGAAAATTAGCTGGGTATGTTGGCACACACCTGTAATCCCAGCTACTTGGGAGTCTGAGGCAGGAGAATTGCTTTAAATGGAGAGAGGGAGGTTGCAGCGAGCCAAGATTGTGCCACTGCACTCCAGCCTGGGTGACAGAGTGAGATTCTATCTCCAAAAAAAAAATAGTAGTTTTGAATTTTAAACATCTATTTGACAAGAAATTCACAGTTCTTTCTCTCTTAAATAACGTAATAATTCTTTCAGTAATGAGCCTGGTTTGATGCCTCTCTCCCCAACATGATACAAGTGTCACATAAATCTATGAAAAATTCAATTTCCCTGTTCCTACAACAACTGTCTGGGATGGAAAACTTCTTCCCTTGCTCTAGTCCTTTCTTCTACACCTAGTTTCACCTAATCTGTGACTCAAAACAATACTTGTCAGGAAACATTCTGGAAAGAGCAAAAGGCTTCTAAGAGGTGTCAGAGATTCCTGGACCAACATCTGTCCATCTCTAGAGGGGGTTGTGAGTATGAGGAAGAGCAGAGCTTGTAAATCTTCTCCTTGCTTTCACTCCCACTGTATTTCCTAACAACGGCAACCACAGCCACATAATATCATAGAACAAGCATCTACTACTTCCAAGGCTTTGGTCTCAGTAAATCTTCTCTACCTCTATCACAGCATCTAGAAGGTTTGATACTCATACAAATAGTGCTGTAGCTTTCTTTTCATAACTGGAAAAGTGGGCAAGACTCAGTGTAATGCAGGCATTCCTTAAGCTAGTTATCATTCAGTTTTTAGATTGTCGTTGCGCACATATACCCAGCATATGTCTAATATACATGTAAAAATCCATGAAGCAAGCGTTATATTAGCTTGTGTTTTCTATTGTATTAAATTTTTCTCTTATATCGTCTTCTCCTTTTTGTCATTAAAAATCTGTTCAAGTCAGTCTAAATTAATTATTGGATCATAAGTAGATAAAATCTTTTATTTCATAACACATTGACCCAATGAATATGTTTCTTTGCAAGACACAATCCTCATTTCCAAGACAACAAGCCTGAAAAAATTATACTGGAGCAAGTCTACAAGAAATGATGGTAGCTTTTCCTTATTGTCAGTCCTGGGGCAAGAATAACATAAAAGATAACAAGGTAGAATAAAGATTACATAAGAAAGAAGGACAGCAACAGGACATGGGGACCGTTTATAGGGTAACATTTAAATAATGGATGATGAGAAGTAATGCGTTAGACAGGGATGGATGGGAATGATGGAAGGTCTGAGTACTTTAGCACAGATTAAGATCAAATCATTAGGATTTTAAGAGTTGTGTACAGTTACTGAAGAAAATGCCTTAGAATTTAATTTGACTGTGGATAAAACATTCTTGGATTAGATTTAAGACTATTTTCCATGCTAAGTATATTTATAATGATGATGACTGTAGTGCTGAATATTTAAACAATGAAAACAAAATTAATTGCCACATACATAATGTCCTGAATACTATTGTAAATGTTTTATCTTATTTTCTTTAAACTGTCTACAGCACTGTAAGGCAGGTACCACTATTGTCACAGTTACACAGATATGGAAACCGAGACACAGGGAAGTTAAGTTACTTGATTAATTTCAAGCAATCGGCAAGCCATGGAGCATCTATGTCAGGGCTGCCAGGACATGTGACTGTAAACAGAAGTTTTTAACTCAAAGAGGGTATGTGTCTGGGTTAATGGAAAGCTTCAGGACCCTCAGAAAACATTACTAATAAGCAAATGAAAGGTGTATCTGGGCCGGGCGCGGTGGCTCATGCCTGTAATCCCAGCACTTTGGGAGGCCAAGGCGGGTGGATCACCAGGTCAGGAGATCGAGACCATCCTGGCTAACATGGTGAAACCCCGTCTCTACTAAAAATACAAAAAATTAGCTGGGCGTGGTGGCAGGCGCTTGTAATCCCAG
This sequence comes from Homo sapiens, assembly GCF_000001405.40. NCBI lineage: Eukaryota > Metazoa > Chordata > Mammalia > Primates > Hominidae > Homo > Homo sapiens. The sequence continues at coordinate 88,388 of NW_012132915.1, read as the reverse complement.
GCACTTGGGAGGCTGAGGCAGGAGAATGGCATGAACCCGGGAGGCAGAGCTTGCAGTGAGTGGAGATCGCACCACTGCCCTCTAGCCTGGAAGACAGAGCGAGACTCCGTCTCAGAAAAAAAAAAAAAAAATGTCTATCTGGAAGATTAAGTTCTAACAGACTCTTCATTTCCATAGATCCAATAATGCACTTAGGGAGATGACTGGGCATACTGAGGACAGGAAGAGAGAAATGAAAACACAGCCTTTTATATTGTTCTTAACAGACTTGTGCCAAATATCATACGGGTGTATTTAGGTGATTGAAGAGAAGAAAGGCACAGGAGTGAAATTATGTGAGCACAAGGGAGGAGTTCTACACTCAGACTGAGCCAACAGACTTTTCTGGCCTGACAACCAGGGAGGCACAGGACGCTCAGTGCAGAGAGGAAGAAGCAGGTGGTCTCTGCAGCTGGAAGCTCAGCTCCCACCCAGCTGCTTTGCATGTCCCTCCCAGCTGCCCTACCTTCCAGAGCCCATATCAATGCCTGGGTCAGAGCCCTGGGAAGGAACTGCTCAGTTAGGACCCAGACGGAACCATGGAAGCCCCAGCTCAGCTTCTCTTCCTCCTGCTACTCTGGCTCCCAGGTGAGGGGAACATGAGGTGGTTTTGCACATCAGTGAAAACTCCTGCCACCTCTGCTCAGCAAGAAATATAATTAAAATTCAATGTAGATCAACAATTTTGGCTCTACTCAAAGACAGCTGGTTTGATCTAGATTACATGAGTGCATTTCTGTTTTATTTCCAATCTTGGATACCACCAGAGAAATTGTAATGACACAGTCTCCACCCACCCTGTCTTTGTCTCCAGGGGAAAGAGTCACCCTCTCCTGCAGGGCCAGTCAGAGTGTTAGCAGCAGCTACTTAACCTGGTATCAGCAGAAACCTGGCCAGGCGCCCAGGCTCCTCATCTATGGTGCATCCACCAGGGCCACTAGCATCCCAGCCAGGTTCAGTGGCAGTGGGTCTGGGACAGACTTCACTCTCACCATCAGCAGCCTGCAGCCTGAAGATTTTGCAGTTTATTACTGTCAGCAGGATTATAACTTACCTCCCACAGTGATTCAACATGAAACAAAAACCTCAACAAGACCATCAGTGTTTACTAGATTTTACCAGCTGCTTCCTTTACAGACAGCTAATGTGGTGGCCACTCAGTTTTAGCGTCTCTGCTCTATTTGGACATTTTGCAGTTCTAAAAAAAAATCATTGAACAATTTGGACTTTGATTCTTGGACTCTGTTCAACTGAGGCACCAGAATCCCAGGTTTCCAGAAATAGTGACTCACTGTATGAATCCTTATATAGCCTCAGTGGTTCTTAACTTTCCCAGTAGAGGTAGCTCAGTGCATGCTACACTGCTCCATTTGAATTTTGCAACATTCTAAGTAGTAGAAAATTCTATTTATTTATCCAAATAGTTGACTCGGTAAAAGCTGTTCATGTGAAGATACTACCATGGCTGAATAAATCCCATTCTTTTTCTTTCTTCAGGCTATCAACATTTCAGTGGCAAATGGTTATTATGGAAACATTTGCCATTTAAAAGTTAACTAAATTATTTCTTCAATTTTCTCTGTGATGCAGTAGACTGTAAAAAGATTAAAGTTTGTTAAAATAAAGTACATATTCGATAAGGAAGAAATAGATTATTCCTAATGACGTCTGCAATGACCTAGTAGAAAGAGTGATAGAAGCAGTTGTTTTCATTATTTTTGTCCAAAACTTCCTTCCAAATGGGATTTCATTGATCATATTCGTTTATTACCACCTATAAGACATGTTGACATTATGTAACATCTGATGTGAAGCACTGAGGATACATCCTGTCTGTATTATTCTTGCCAAAAATTAATGGTGTGAATTGAATCAGTAGTAAACACCATATACAAACCCAACTAGGAGGACATTCTTCAACATACCTGGACAGTAAACTTCAAATGTTTGAAGGCCATGAAAGAGAAACAAAAGTGAAAAACTATCACAGATTTAAAGATATTGAGGACAGGATAACCAAATAAAATACAGAAACCTGAATTTTATCTTGTAACATAAAAAAAGTCATCAACAGGAAAAATCAGTGAAATCCATATGGTATTTTAAATGAGTTAACAAATAACATTATATCTATGTTCATTTCATGGTTGTGATACTTATACTGTGGTTATTTATGATGCTGACATTAGAGCAAGCTGAAAGAGGCGCATATGGGAATCATTTTTACCATATTTTTCAAATTTTAGGTCTAAAAGTATTTCCACATAAACTTAAAACACACACACAAGTAACTAAAAAATAAGAAAAAGGTAGTTTTTAAACAATTCCACAAGTTTCCTCCTATTTTGCACTTTCCTATTTCTTTCTTTCTTTTTTTTTTTTTTTTCAGATGGAATCTTGCTCTATCACCCAGGCTGGAGTGCAGTGGTATGATGATCTCGGCTCACTGCAACCTCTGCCTCCCAGGTTCACGCCATTCTCCTGCCTCAGCCTCCCAAGTGGCTGGGACTACAGGCACCCGCCACCACGCCTGACTAATTTTTTTGTATTTTTTTAGTAGAGACGGGGTTTCACCATGTTAGCCAGGATGGTCTCGATCTCCTGACCTCGTGATCCACCCGTCTCAGCCTCCCAAAGTGCTGGGATTATAGGCATGAGCCACCGCACCCAGCTACCTTTTCCTATTTCTAATTCTTATCTCTATTAAAGACAATCATAGCTCCCATTATGTAGAGTGTAATCACTAATTTGCTCAGTTCTAGAATACAAAGAAGGCATCTTAAAAATTGACTGTGCATTTCTTCATGAATGTGAAATCCAGGGACCAGGATTCTCTATTTTTTAAGTCCTTGGTTTCTCTTTAAACTGAGGGTGAAGAGTTCAAGTTCTCAAGTCCAAAATTACTTATGTTAGTAAATAACCTCATTCCATTTCAGCATGGCTATTATGTTCATTTAAATGCATTTTAGAAGGCATCTCTGTTTATGGCATCACAAAGAGTTTAATAAATCTTCTGTGCAAAAATAAATAACAAACACACATATAAAGCTAAAATATCAAAACTATTTCAGCACTCTGAAAATTGGTGAAGCATAAAATAATTAAAGATGTATATTCTTTATAGAAAAAAAAGTACTAGTGCTTTGAGTAAGGACAGAAAAAGTCTGTAGCCTTTTGCCTGTGACAGCACCCTTCTACCCCCAGCTCAGTCAGCATGAAATACAGAACTGGAGTTTTACCAATATGAGGATAGCAAATAAAGCTAGCAGCTTGCTGCCAAAGCGGGTGAACTTGAGTAAAGCCAAGGAATGAAGTAAAATTCTTCAGTGTTTCCAGCTAAACATGCAGAACTCCATAGGGAATGAACAGAAAAAGCCCACAGCTTTGTTAGTCAAAGATGATGCCCTGTTTGGGGCAAGTAGTACACCTGCTAACAGTAAATAGCAGATTCCTGGGTAAGATAGAGCCATATTGCTGAAACAATCTCTACACACATTCCTGGTGACTTAGAAGCTATAGATATGAGTGATGAGACCCAGAAGTGCCCGGTGCAAAGTAAAACCAGAGGGAGGTAAGAACTAGCTGCATTTTGCAGGAGCTTTTTAAACTACACACAGATGGATTGACAGAAGATAGATTTATAACCTCCAGATATTTGAGCAAAACTTCTTCTCAAATCATTGGTGACCACTAAGCTGTGCAGATACATGTGCAGTTTCTATAAATTCAAACTAAATATTAAGAATAAAAAGCAGAGATATCAGTGGTCAAACACCATATGAGATATAGATTTTTCAATATCATGCATTGAAAATACATTTAATATATGTAATCCACTAGCTCAGCCTATTCTATCCTAAATGTGCTCAGTACACTTACATTAGTTTACAGTAGGGCAACATTATCTAACACAAACCTTATCTTACAACAAAGTGTTGAATATCTCATGCAATTTATTGAATACTCTATTGAAAGAGAAGATAGAATAGTTGTATAAATACTAGAAGTACTATTTCTACTTGAATGCATATCACTTTCACACCATCTGAAAGTCAAAAAATGATAACTCCAACTATCATAAGTCAGGTACCAGAAGTAAGTTCTGACAAGTAACTAAGAAAAAAATTTTAAAATGCTCAGAAAAATGAAACCAGTTCCAGGCCTGACATGGTAGCTCAAGCCTGTAATCCCACTACTTTAGAGCCTGATGCAGAAGGATTACATGAAGCCAGGAGTTCAAGACCAGGCTGGCCAAAATAGTGACACCCTTATCTCTACAAATTTTTTTTTTTAAATAGCAGAGAGTGGTGGCATGCACCTATAGTCCCAGCTACTCAGGAGGATGAAGCTGGAGGATCACTGGAGCCCAAGAGGTTGACGCTGCAGCGAGCTATGATCACACCACCACACTCCAGCCTGGGTGACAGAGTGAGACCCTGTTTCTAAAAAAATTAAAATTAAAATAAAAACCCCACAATCTAAAGAGAGGTACTATAATATATTATCAAAAGTGTGCAGCTTTCAGTTTTAAAAAATCCTGAAAAAAAAACAGAGGAGTATGATTTATATTGAAGGAACAAAGTAAAGCAACTACAATAATGACAACAGAAAATAGCCAATGAAAGCTGATTCTAACTTGTCCTCATTATTGGCTTTAGCAAAGACTACAAAGCAGTTAATATGCAGATGTTCAAATAATTATTTTTAAAACTATGATCATTGACATAAAAACGAAAATATTTTTAAAAAGAAGATTCAGCAAGTAGGACCTCAAGAAAAGAAATGGAAAGTATAAAAAATGACCAAATGGGAACTCTAGAAATGAAAAGTACCATAATACAATTTAAATATTTATTAGCTAGGTCTAATAGCAAATTGAGATGACAGAACAATCAGTTAACTTGAAAATAGAGGAATGGAAATGTTTGAGCCTAAAGAAAATGTTTAGAAAAAAAGGAAGAAATGTCAGAGATTTATAGCTCAGAGTGAAGGATACCAACAAATGTATAATGAGAGTCACAAAGAAGGAGAGACAGAGAAAGTGGCTGAAAAAATATTTGGAGATACAATGACAAAAACTTTTCAAAAGTAATAAAAAATATTCTTAGATGAAATAATTCAATAAAACCCTTTTAGATAGTCAATAGAAATTAATAAGTGAACACACTATATTAAAATGTTGAAAGACAAAGAAAAAATCTTCATTGCATCAGAATAAAAGCAGACACTATATACAGAGACACAACAACGTAGCCATTGGCTAAGTTTTCATCGGGACCAATAGAGGCTAGAAGCAGTAAAATGACATATTTAAATGCTGAAAAGGAAAAAAAAGAAGGCAGCCAGGAAATCTATCCAGTGAAAATATCCTTCAAATCTAACAAAAAGGCAAAAAAAAAAATTTTGGTAAACAAAATACATTCATTCATAGCAGCTATGTCTTATAAAACATTTGAGAGAAAATCCTTCAGAATCACAGGAAATGACATCAGACAGGACCTTGAGTCCACTGGAAGAAATGAAGGCCTCAAAAGTAGTAAGGAATAATACCAAGACTAAAAAGATAAAAATACACATAATGCTATTTATATGAAGTTTAAGACAGGAAAACCTAAATGATTGTGTAGATGTCAGAAAGACAGTTACTTTTGCTGGGTGGGAAGGGTGACAACTAGCAAAGGTTGTCCACGAGGGAAGCACAAGAGAATGTGAAAGCACAGCTCCACCTCTGGCCCATTCTTTTGGAAGAGCCCAGATTCATAGGGCAGGTAACATCTATGGAAGACTCATGAATGACATGATTGATGGGTATTTAGCAGAAAACAAGTTGTATGTATCACATACTGTTCTATGCAGAGAGTACAATACATGTGAGTGAGAGAGTCCCTCTAGCAAAGAAAAGAAGTATGAACTAGACCTTCAGAATATTAGTTTTTAGAGTTCATCAGTTTTTAGAGTTTTTAGAGTTCATCAGAAGAACACAGATCAAGGTGTCCTCTCATCTGGGCATGGGAAAGCAAACTGACTGCAGGTTCTCCCTAGATCAGTGGCCCGTGGCTTTGGAGACATGTACATTAAACTCACATTTGTTCACATCCACAGTCACTTCCTGGCTTTACCATAGGAATGATGGTCTGGCTACCCAGTTACTTAGGAACTGTGCACACAGGCTGTCAGTTACTAAAACAATTAAAAACAGTGACTTTGCTTAAATATGTATCAGTAGTTACATTCTGCAGGGAAAAATGAGCAGAGGGGATATATTTTAATACCAAATGAAAAATCACAACCTTGTGACTTCTTTCTCTCCCCATATAATTCGTTATGCTTGTGCTGAAACTTCAGAGTATCAAATGAGCCCCATATATTCATCCCTAAATCTTTGTCCTTGTCCAACCTGAGCCCATGTTTGGGCCATCCACTGGCATCCGAGTACACTTGTGAGATGAGCAGTGTCCAGAGGGCATTGCTAGGGCGATTCACAGGCAGCTCCATGCAGTCTCTCCCCTCGAACTCCCAGCATCACTAACCCTGAAGGAGTGTCCTCCTGTCCTCCTCAGCACCCAGAGCACAGCCTGCCCTGCTGTGATTTCCCTGCCCAGCTTACAATCTCAGCATAGATTCCACTGGCTCAAAGACAAAGTCAGGTCCCAGGCAGAGACTGCTGTGGGGGCCTAATTAAAACCATCTTTTCATCAATTTTTCTGTTAGAAATTTGCAGACATTTTCACCATATTAAAAAATTATTTTCATTAGTGCTGATCTAAATGGTTACAGTTAGACCCTCACAGTGTTATAGCTCAGAGCACAAACCTCAGCAGCTGTTAGTCCAGAGAATCAGGTGGTCTCAGATGCTTGCTGGCTGGTGCAGCCACTGTTTCAACAATGGGAGGAATGAAGCTGAGTAGACAGATCCAGACCAGGGGCCCTCTACTCCCGACCCTAGCCCTGGACATTGTGCTCTGCAGGGCCCCTCACAACCTCACTCTCTCTTTCCCAGAACCACATTGTTGGCATCTCACATGGATCACAGAATTTAACACCTGATTGTTTTGTGACCATCTTTTCTCAACTCTTTATCTTCAACTAGGTGACTGGTTTATTGAGGAGAGGAATCGTTTTGTATTCCCTACAGAATGCAGCCTATTGATGGATGTAATAAGATCAACTCCATGAAAACCCATGAAAAAACTCCATCAAGTCTCACTGGAAACCAGCATCTAAAATTCTATAAGATGTTATGTCACAAACCTGCCATTGGGTGGTATGTCACAAACCTGGCCATTGGACAAACCCCATAATAAACACAAAATAGAAGCCTGATCTTAGAAATAGTGAAATTAAGGGTGATGTTGTTTCATTATCAGCAGGCAGCCCCCAAGGCAGGAATGGGGTCTCATGTGTGACCTGGATCACCTGGGAGGAGCTGCCAGTGTGCTGAGTGGTGGGAAAATGCCCTCTGTGCTCTGAGACTGGAAGCCTTGCCTTGCCCTTCCTACTGCCTTGGCCATATCCTCAAAGTGCACCTGCTATGAACTGAATGGTGTTTCACAAATTCATATTTTGAATCTCCAACCTCCAATATTACTGCATTTAGACATAGAGGTTATGAAGAGGTAATTAGGGTGAAATGAGGTGAAAACATCGGGGTTCTGATTTAATAGGATTTGTGTCCTAATAAAAAGAAATATCATTGAGCTGTTACTGAACCCCTCACCAGCCTCCAAGCGTGTACTGAGTAAAGCATGCACTTGCTTCTCTTACACATGCCTGGCACATTGCTGAACACACATGAGGATGTATCCAGAGAGGACATCTGGAAACAAACAGGGTTCTCACCAGAAAGCAAATCCTTCTGGACTTTGATCTTGAACCTTCCATGGTTCTAATATATTCGCAATAAATGTCTAATAAATTAGCAATAAATGTCTGTGGTTGAAGCCCTCCAGCTCAGAGTATGATGGTGTGGCATTCTCGGCAGACTTATCCACTGTTGCCACGTTCTCTGAGCAGGATCAGCCCCAGGAGTCACCTTGTGGACTTTGGGACCCAGCTTTTCTCCTTTTGCTCCTGCTGTCCTGACTGCCTGGTGAGGAAGGGGAAGTCAGGTTTCAGCCTCAGATAGTTTGTATTAAACATGAACTTTCCTTGATGATGAATTTGTTAGACTGTTTCTCCTTCTGATCAGAATTTCATCAAGTTGGATGAAATAAAAGCTTGGTATTAATATTTGGGAATCTGCATGCTTGTTCCCCCACTTGGATGACAGTGAGCATGTTATGTGGATGCCATCTTCATCCTCTTCCTTGTCTCTCAGGTTAGAGGGTCACTGTCACCTGCAGGGCTGGCCAGAGTATGAAGAACATCCTAGCCTGGCACCAGCAGAACTGGGGCATGGCTCTGAGCTCCTGCTGGCTCCTACTGCCCTCCTGGACATGATCCCTGCCTGGGTCAGGGATAATAATGGGCCTGAACAGATGTCACTCTGGCCACTACCAACCAAGATGCCTTCAGAGGTAGGTGATCCCTCTTCCTGTCCCCTATCATGTACAAATCTTCCCTAGCAACAGCTCTACCTGGGGGCCCAGGGGTTGCTAAGGGTCTGAAATCTTCTCAGGGGAACAGGCTGGGGGACACCTCTGAATTCACATTCCCTTTTCATCTCAAACCCACTTGCCACCTCTTCTATGAACATCTCTAATGTATCTTGTGGCCATCACTGCCTGAAGCATGTCAGATGCTTTCTCCCACCTCCTTCTCTGAATTCATGATGAAAATTCATCCTCACTTCCACATGGGCTGGCCACACCTTGTTTCTCTTACATACATGCCCCGGCACGTTGCTCAACCCATAATTCTGACCCCTCTCCATGAATCTTTGTGAAACGGTCATGGTTGGCAATTTGTGGTTATTGGAGACCAGAAAGTAAAATGGTAACTATCAAGAAGCTTGTGCATGGCACTGACATAGGCCATTGTTAACAGGGTCCCAGCAGCTGGTCAGTCATGAAAGCTGGGCAGAGAGATCCCACATCACCCCAGTCAGAGGGGAAGCTGGGAATGAGCCATGGAGGGGCTTATTCCTCTGACCATGCAGCCTCTGAGCCATGTGTGCTGCTTTGCTTGACAGAAATGACCAGAAAAGGACTTGTCTGTGCTGAGCCCTGTGGACAAAACGTCCCTCCATTCAGGGTCCAAATTCACTATCCATCTCCTGGGCATCTGCTGCCCTGTGATTCTGCAGATCCCCCTCAGGTCACTCATGATCCTCAGCAATGGGTAGCTCACTGCTATCGGCCCAGGGGGCACATGGAAGAGAGTCCCGAGCTTTATGACCCTCAGGCCCTGGAGTGAGGAGGGGCCATGAGGTGGTGCACCCAGTGCTTGTTTTCAATGTTCACGTTCAATTTATTAAAGTTTAAAACTATACCTTATACTAGCAATGAAACTTGCATCTCTTTATACATAAACATGCATCACATATTTATCCACAGATACATAGTATATACAAATATATAAATATAACTTATTTCTAAAATGTATGTATTTAATATGTAAAGTTTATACTAGAAATTCATATTACAAATACACATAATTTTATGTTTATTTTTGTAGCATGTGTTCCTTTTCTTTCCAAGCAGAACAGAGTCTGGCTGAGTGAAGACCTTGAGGACATTTGCTGACCCTCCCTCTTTGGCTCCAGCAGGGTCCCAGTCATTCAGGACAAGGGAGGACACAGCTGACAGCAGCCAGCCCAGGATCCCAGCCCCAGCCCTAAGGTCTGTGTCCTGAGACTTTCACTCTTGCCAGGCTGGGGGGATATATGCTTAATGCAGCTCCCGCGAATTTGTGAGCAGTTTCCCTCCCTGAAGACCCTGCCAGGCAGCCCTGCGGCCAAGGCCTGTGGCTCATCCCAGGTTCTCAGCCCTGTGGCTCAGGAGAACAGTGGCTTCCTCCACAGACCAGGGCCAGGGCCTGGAAGCGCTCAGGCACTGCCAGCCTGACCTTAGCTCTGGGCTAAGGACCCTATTCCAAATGTCTCCTCATTTATCGAAGTACCTGAAAATCTGTCTGGTTCTTAAACTCAAAGTATGACTTGAGTTGAGGTATACTCACTCCACTGTCTCTAATGTAGATTTATAGATGTGTAGAGAGTTTTAGAGGATTTTTAACTTTTGTGACCCAGTGTAAACAAAACAGTATCTGAGACAGGTCTCAATCAATGTATAGGTTTATTTTGCCAAAGATAAGGCTTATGGCCTGTGACACAGCTTTAGGAGGCCCTGCAAATATGTGCCCAAGGTGGCTGGATTACACGTTGGTTTTATACATTTTAGGGAGACACAAAAATTACAGGGAAAGACCTAAGTCAGTACATATAAGATATACATTAGTTTGTCCTGGAAAGGTGGGATATCTTGAAGCAGGGGCTTCCAGGTCACAGGTGGCTTCAAAGTTTTCCTGATTGGCAACTGGTTGAAAGAGTTAAGCTCTGCCTAAAGAGTTGAATTCATCATAAAGAAATCCTTGAGTTTAGATAAGGGGGTGTGGAAGTCAAGGTTCTTGTCACTTAGATGAACCTTGCAGGTAACAGTAAAGTAGATGGTGAATGTTGCTTATCAGACCTTTAAAGAAATGTCCAACTCTTTGGAAAAGACATAGTAAGAGGAGGAGATGCTCTGCAGAATGCAAATTTCCCCCATAACAGGCAGCTTTGCAGGGCCACTTCAGAATACATCAAAAAAAATATTTTTAGGGTACAATATTTAGATTTTCTTCAGGGCCTATTATCTGTCATGTTGGAGTATGGTATCTTATTGCTACAAAGCATTTGATTTGTCAGTCTAAAGATCTCTGTTGTAATGATAACACTGGTCAGTTTTGTCTGAACTCCAAAGGGAGGAGAGTATAATGAGTTACATCTAAACCCACCTGCCAGTCATGGCCTAACCTAGTTTTTCAGATTTCTTTGACGTTCTCTCTGCCAAAAGAGAAGCCCATTGAGTAGGTTGGTGGCTTACAACTTGATTTTTTGTTTTAACACACAGAAAAAAAATCACAGCGTAAATTCAATCTAAGATACATTGGTAAAAAAAAAAAAATTAGGTGCTTCCTGAATATTTGTACATATCAAAGAAAGAGAAATGGTAAGATTTCAGATGAGAAATACCCCTCATACAAAAGATTAATGACTTTTCTTTTTTACTCTCTCAGTTTGGATCCACCAGCAATAAGGATTCCTGTTAGGTAGCAAATTTATACTGGGAGGAAAGGAGGAAAGTGAGGGAGGGAACAGAAAATGAATGGTAAAAGACACATCAACAACCTACCTGACTCAGGATAACTGAAGATCAACCACATGGTCTGCTTTCTCCGCTTTCAAGATGATGCCTGGAGCGTTGAGTTCTTCAAAGGAAGGAAGGCCATGTCTTAACATGTCAGAGGAGCAGGAGAGAGATCTCAGCCCTGTAATTCCTGTTTATAGTGGCATTAATGTATTCCGCTAGAGGGCTCCAGCCTCATGACCTAAACACATCCCAATAGGCCCCACCTGGCAAAAACCATTACACTGAGAATTAACTTTACAATAGATGGATTCTGGAGGACACAGTCAAACCATAGCACTTTCCTAAGAGATACACATTCCAGGCCATCTGGCCAGCAATGCATCCAGGCAGAGTTCTCTGCCCAAGATCATAAAGAACATAAGACATATATATGGTCATTGGAAATGAGTAGAGGTACAGCAAAGGGGAAAGCCCTAGATTACAGATGGGGACTGCTACGTTCATCATGGTACAGTTAACCCTTGAATAACTTGGGTTTGAAATTTGCAGATACACTTATATTTTGTTCTGTGTGTGTCACCTGTAAGCAAATGCTTAATAAGTAGTAAATATATTTTCTCTATTTTATGGTTTCCTTAATAACATTTTTTTCTTTAGCATACTTTATTGGAATAATAGAGTATATAATATATATAACATTAAAAAACATGTTAATCAACTATTTATTTTATTGCTAAGGCTTCCAATCAAAAGCAATCTATTAGTACTTAAGTTAGGGATGCAAAAATTCTACACAGGTGCAGCCCATTTAGTCTCTGGGTATTAAAAAGACCTGTAGCTCTTGATAATGGTGGGGCTGTTAGTGCCACATGCATTGAAGAAGCACGGCATCATCTTTGTGTATCTGTAGTAAATTGTTTGATCTTATACTGGTAAGAACAATGGCATAACACCATTACCTAATACTTACAAATATATATAGCATCATGTCAATAAATTTTATTTTTAATTTTTTAGAAAGGAACAATGTTAAACTCACAGAAATGTTTCAAGTATAGCACAATTACCCCCTTCCCTAAATGGAATCTTATAACAGTCTTTTGAAGACCTGAGAATCGTACCATCTAATATGTACTGTGTTTCCTACAAACAAGAATATTCTCCAAAATAATCCCCATACACCAATGAAATATATTACCCCATTGACTCTCGAGGAATATTGTCAAAAAATATCTTTAAAATGTTTCTCATAACAAAATAGTCCCCAGTAGAAACACATTCTCTGCAGACAAATTTGTGCTACCCTGGTCTTACCTGGGACACCTGGGGACACTGAGCCGGTGCTGAGTTACTGAGATGAGCCAGCCCTGCAGCTGTGCCCAGCCTGCCCCTTCCCCTGCTCATTTGCATGTTCCCAGAGCACAGTCTCCTGACCTGAAGACTTATTAACAGGCTGATCACACCCTGTGCAGGAGTCAGACCCACTCAGGACACAGCATGGACATGAGGGTCCCCGCTCAGCTCCTGGGGCTCCTGCTGCTCTGGCTCCCAGGTAAGGATGGAGAACACTGGCAGTTTACTCAGCCCAGGGTGCTCAGCACAGCCTGGCTATTCAGGGAAATTCTCTTACTACATGATTAATTGTGTGGACCATTTGTTTTTGTGTTTCCAATCTCAGGTGCCAGATGTGCCATCCAGATGACCCAGTCTCCATCCTCCCTGTCTGCATCTGTTGGAGACAGAGTCACCATCACTTGCCGGGCAAGTCAGGGCATTAGAAATGATTTAGGCTGGTATCAGCAGAAACCAGGGAAAGCCCCTAAGCTCCTGATCTATGCTGCATCCAGTTTACAAAGTGGGGTCCCATCAAGGTTCAGCGGCAGTGGATCTGGCACAGATTTCACTCTCACCATCAGCAGCCTGCAGCCTGAAGATTTTGCAACTTATTACTGTCTACAAGATTACAATTACCCTCCCACAGTGTTACACACCCGAACAGAAACCCCCAGGGAAGCAGATGTGTGAGACTGGGCTGCCCCAGCTGCTCCTCCTGATGCCTCCATTGGCTGAGATTGTTCCTCAGATGCAGCCACACTCTGATGGTGTTGGTAGAGGGGGACACGAAGTCACCTCTGCACCCTAATTCTTTTCTCTTTCTCAGCCCCAACTGCACAGTTCTAGCAATGCCTCTCTTGATTTAATAAAGACAGAGATCATGACACCTGAAGAGTCTAGTTTATGGCTTCAGTTGGAATTCGTATAACAGAGAAGAAGCCACTATAGATATTTGAAGCAGATATAGTCTTAATACAGAGAATTAGAGTAAACTACTGAAGTCTAAATAAAATGTAGAGATGAATCTCTAAATTTAATGTTTTATTTGCAAAGAAATATTTGCCAAATGGGGCATACAGGAAAACTCAGTGGTCTTCAATATGTTGGAAGAACAAAGAGAAATTTAGCATTTTATGAAAAAGGGAAAATGTTACCTATGGCTCTTTTGAGAAAGCTCATTGGCACTAGGAAGGGTTGGGAGCTGGCAAGCTCAGACTGGTAAGCAGTGGTGGACAAAGTGAATCCTAGAATTATATCAAGTTATCTCAGAAGTTTTGGATAAATTTGATTTCAGGTTACAATAAACCAAAACGGTGAAGCTTGCAGAGAATTTTGTTACTGAAATGCCAGGGATTCGGTGTAGATCCTGCAGCTCGTCACACAGAAAGCCAATCACTAAGACAAGTATTTTCAAGGAACAGGCTTTAATCAGGTGCTGCAGCTGAGGAGATGGGATGCCATTCTCAAATGTATCTCTCTGACCAACTGAAATTAGGGGTTTATATAACAAGGAAGAAATGTGGAAAAACAGGAGTTAGGGAGGGTTAAGAAAGATAATTGGGTCAACAGGAAGCAGGAGGTCAGTTAGGCAATCATAATGGGTGAAGGGTCTGATGTCTCACTGTCCCGATTCAGTGATATATAAGTTTCAGCAAATTGATAGTATCTGGGAGGCCTGATGGTTGCTTTCCTGAAATTTAAAAAAAAAAAAAAAAAAAAAAGAAAGGTAAGATAAATGTTGCTATCTTGAGTTTTAAGACTGGAGGAGTCGATTTCTGTTTATTCAAAAAACCATAAACTTTAGTTCCATGGGATAATAGGGCCTATTTCAATTGCATTCTAGAAACAGTATTTTTCACCCTGAGTGCCTTTCCCTCCTGGTTTCTTGGCTCTGTCGGGTATCACAAGAATGACCGAATTCCTATGATTAACTTTCCCACTATGACCTTTCAAAGCCAAGGATATAGTAGTCAGGAAAGCTGATATTAGAAGCAGGAATCTCTGGTGCTCCCTCAGAAAACAGAATGCATCTGTCCCTGAAGTAAGGGCTTTCTAACCATGTGGTCCTCAGTCCTGTCTGGAAGCTTAGGGGTGGGGGTGCTGATGCTCTCAGCTTCCTACAGCATCTTTTCAGGTGTTTCTCTAGTCCTCACCTCTGTTCCTGTGTCTGCCTTAGGTACCAATGGAGAATATTGAGTCATCCTTTTCTGATTCCAAATCTCATGGGAGGACCTCTTATTGGGCAACTCTATAGGACACAAGAGAGGTAAAAAGGGATAGTTACATAAGTTAAAATGATTTTCCCCCTTTGAGGTCATTTCAAAAATTATATTTAAAAGCACATGTTGAAAACACATCCAGCTTTATTTTCTTATTAATGCAAATTTACGTTTGCAAATATTTTCAGGATTGTAAAGGTTGAAAACATAATTACTTGTCCATGGAATGATCAAACACCTCTATAATTAATTGGAGTAAACATTTTCTTGAAAATTTGTACTCACTGAAATCAAAAAATATATTTAAAATGTGTGAAGCTATGTTAGAAATTATTGGACTTAAATTCAACTGTGCAGTTCGGTTTGGGATGTTGTTCACTCCTGTGACCTGTCACAAGAATCTTGTGTCACGTGTAGTCACTGCTGTTCAGCCTCGTCCTCAGAAAATTGGTATCTGTAGGCTAAAGACAAGCTCAGTGCCCTGCGGAGGAATCAATCAGCTGAGCCCTTCCTTAATCAGCCAGATGATTGTGAACATGAGCATCCATGAAGATGAAAACAAATATTTACAGTTATCAGCCACTGAGTTGTATATTTAACCGATTATCAATCATTAATGCATAAAAGCTTACTGATACAGTATTTACACCTCTGCCTATATATAGATACATGTGTTTTTTCTTAAATTGGTGGTATAAATGTGAACATTAAGTAATCAAATTATGAAGTTATTAAGAGAAAATTAAAGATGAAATTAAAACTAATTAGTATTTCATTAAAAAATTAAAATTTACCTTATTTATGGAAAAATGTGCATATATATAAGATACATAGAAGTTAATATATATTTATTTGATAAAATGTTGGCTATAAGTATATATAGTATTCATATTTAATTATGTTTATTCTATTATATATGCAATATATACAAATTTACAAAATTATTATCTAAATTATATACATTTAAATAATTTTTTCTTGCATCTGTAAAAAAATGGTATTCTGGACCACAGATAGTTCATACTCTTGCTAAAGAAAATTTCTTTTTAGCCTTTATTTTTAAAACTTTACCAAATTGTTGTCCTTACCTAAAATATTTTTCCAAACCAGTAGATCTCCAAGGGTAGGACTACAGCAGATTTTGACTAATGTTGAATATTAATCATTGCATCCTATGAAAGTCTCCATTATGTTCATGCCCACAATGATGATATTCCAAATAGAGTTCTCACAACAATGGATGCTAGATGGCGTCACATTAGTGCCATTGTCAAGGAATCCCTGGAAATGTAAAAATCCTAACCGTGGGTAAACTGCAAGGCCTACATCTGATGATCACATTGCCACATTGCAAAGAGAACAGCAATTTAATAATATTGGTTGTTGGTTTTGACAGATCATCAGGCCTTAAAAGAAACACAACAGGATGATTGCAGACAAAGTCATTTTGGAAGAGCTATGACTAGATGTTTCAAAAATGAGCCATAATCGAAAAACATGCTTTCTCAGTGAATATTAATCCAAATGCCATTAATGAGCAGGGGGCTTTTCATAATGAGGATGATTGAACACATGGACTTCAGTCAGTCACCTTTGCCCACTTTCCCAGGTAACCTCATGAACCACTGTTACGGAGGTCCCTGTGGGGACTCAATAATATGAGTTTCAACTAACTGAGATGTACAGGGCTACTGGCTCTCTTGAACACTAATTTGCCAAGAAAATTGACCCTTCCTGAGCCCCTAACATTCTACCACACATCAGGGCTCATACTAACAGCTGATGTCAGGTGATTCAAGTGCACTTCATGTAACATGAGGAGAGCAGTGGTTATTATCCTATATATGAATTTTCCTTTGTCTTTGGTTATGTTACTGCATAAAATATTATTTGAGGATTTTCCAAATGCCTTCATCAGAGTCAGGAAGTTCTTCCATACTGTGGCTTTGGATCAAGAAGGTAATTGACTTCAAAAAAAGTGAAGTAAAGTGTAGCTCATGATCCTGTCATGTGCACAGGTGCAGCTTTCCCTATAGAAAAAAAACCCATTATTAGTCAAGCACTGCTGGCACACAAACCCTTGTGCTATTGAATTGCTATGCTGTCAGATGTGGCGGAGGGTCTACAACACTCACCGTGAATGTTGCTCTTACTCCCATAAACAGAATATTTATATCTTGTAAATGAGCTATAGAATCATCATTGTTGTGCAAACTGAACAGCTTGAAATACTCTATTTCTATTTTCTCAGGGCTGTGGTTTTCTGGCTGATGGTTCTTAATCCAAAGATTTGACATGACAATTATCTCATTAAATTGGAAGAAATAATATGATAAACATGTGCCTATTTAGACTTAATACAATACTGGATAAGTTGTCAACGCAGGGCGTTAGGGTGTGTGCTGGGGACACAGATGTAGCCCATATAAAGCAAGAGCAAATATAATTGATTTTACATATTTTAGAGAGGAAGTACAGAAAATATGGACCCTAGGGGACCTTCTGGAATCTTTCTATTTATTGCCATTTCCACTGGTAAAACTCAGAGAAGATTTCAACAGTCATGAGGATGAAGTTCTAGGGATCACAGTCATATGAAGCATTCCCTGCACTTGGATCTCCAGTGAGGCAAAGGGAAGACGAAATGCATAGTGGGATATGGACATGTAAACACCAGAGACAGCCTCCTGGTCAGCTTAAACGTTGAAAAGTGTATTTATTTTTTCTCTTTAGTTTTATCACAGAATCATTTGGATCTAAGAAAAGCGATTATGGCTGGTTAGGCAGAAAGGTGTTTATTATCATGAATTTAATGGATTGAAAACATTTGGGGAAACCAGAGTGGCAGCTCAGGCAACTCCAAGTACTCCTTTTCCTATTCCTTGACCCTTACCATCCCCATATTTTCCACAGTCAAGAAAGATACTCTCATTTTATAGGAACCTGGCAAGTGAAGATACTGTGCCCACAGGACTGTGCTGCCTGGCTGAGACCCAGACCAGGAAAATGAGCACATTTGAGTGAGATCAGGCATTTTCCCTCCCTCATCTCAATCCAAAAGCACTCTGTAGTAACACATCTGATGGGCAGTCAGAGAAAGGGGTCAGATCTCTCGTAGTTGATAGCAGAGCGGCTGTCCTTCTGGGGGCAGTAGTGAGAAGAGCTGCTCTCTTTTCTGCAGGAGACAGCTTGAATGTTGTGGAGTCTCAGGCAGGAGGAGCTCCTCCCCAGCCTGTGCCAGCAGTGCCATTCTTGGAATTGTTCTAGAGGCTTTGCCTGGAGCCTGTTCCTTAAGGCTTTTCAACAATTTGCAAGGAATTTAATATCCTCTAGTAAATCCCTTTATGCTTCACGAATTTGACATTTGCAACAGGGAATATACACAGTCCACAGTGACATCATTCACTGCCTCCTTTTTTCTTGCTAAATATAATGCTTTCCAGGTGGACCTGCCAGAGGAAGCCAATGTGAATAACAATCCATGTCACCAAAAATGCAAGACAAATAAGCTGGGTAAAGCCACTGGGTTCTCACATAGCTGCACTGTCCCCCGGTACAAAATGGGAGAGTGTAAAACTCTTAGCTCCACCATCAGAGAGATGGTGCAGTGTGACCTTCTCAGCATAGTAAGTCAGTATTTATAGACATTTAAATACTAACAACTTTAATACCAAAATACAGGCAAAAGTAGAAAAGAAGATAAATTGGACTTCATAAAAATGTAAAATGGGCATCAAAAGACATAATCAACACAGTGAAAATGCAACATGTGGAATAGAAGAAAACATTTGTAAATCTTATATTTGATAAGGGGTTAATAATATCTACTATACAAAAATAAGTCTTATATGTGAACCTTAAAATAAAATACCTGATTAAAAATGAGGAAAGTACATGAATCGACATTTCTCTAAAGAAGATTCTATAGAGATAATTAGAAAACTAGCATAGGAAAACATGGTCAACATTATTAATCCTTAGAAAAATAAAAACAAAACCCACCTCACACCTATTAGGATTTTTTTTCCAACAGAAAATGACCAGTCTTGGTGAGAACTTAGGGAACTGGAACTCCTGTGGACACTGTCGTGGTGATGTAAATGGCCCACCTGCTGTGGGAAACCAGATGGCAATTCCTCGAAGAATTAAAAATAGAAATACTATATAATTCAGCAATTCCACTTTTGGACATATACCCAAGTAACTGAAGACATTAACTTGAGGATATATTTGTATATCCACATTCAGAACCGAATTATTCACAATAGCCAAAAGGTAGAAGCAACTCAAATGTTCACAAAGGAGGGAACTGGTAATCCAAATGTGGTATATACATACAGTAGCATATTGTAGCTTTAAAAAGGCAAAATTAGCTTTAAAAAGGGAAATTCTGACACATGCTACAACTTGGATGAAACTAGAGGACATTACACTAAGTGAAATAAGCCAGTCACAAAACGATTACTGAGTTATGATTTCACTACAGTATTTGCAGAACAGGTTCCATTTTGCCTTGAATGATCCCAGTCTCCTTCCCTTTCTTGCTTGTAGTTTTCAGGAATAACTGTAGAAGTTTCTGGAAATGTAACATTCTGAGATAAAGCAAGACTGGCCAGAACACGATTGGCCAGATATTGCAAGATTGACTCCATTTCTGTCCTATTAGAGGAATTTCTTCAACACTCTAGGCAACAATGTGGAGAAAAGTTGAATTGTGAGTCATGCTTGGTTAAACACAAATATCAAGAATGGGCGAGGAAGGCATGATATTTTATAAAATAGTTTTCTTTGGGTGTTTCTGAGCTTTTTAAGAGTATTTTGAAATATACTGTTTTTAATCTTTATTCCACATATTCCATGAATGTGCTCAAAACTTCCCCAGCAGGACCAGCTTAAAATATCAAACCTTAAGGAAAAGAACATTGTAATTAATCATATTTGGACCTTATATTGGATGCCTGCCTGAGATCACTCATCAGCTCCCCCTTGCTTCTAAGGACTGAATCACCAACCAATCCAGCAATCCCCACCTTTCTTCCTCCTGTGTTTTAATACAATTAATCATAACTGTACACTTTACATGCAAACTGTGTTTATTCAACATCATAATAATGCTTGTTACTTTTGTCAATATGTTTCCCCATGTCCAATTAATCATTTTCAACTGTAAAAGTAGTTTAGTATCCTTAGTTGAGGTGATTGCACCATATTTATTCTAATTAAAAAAAGAAGCATATAGTTGCTTTTAAGGGATTTTAACTTAATGTCAGAGTTTTCAGAACTAATAAATGCTATCATTTAAGGTTTAGTGCATGTAAGTAAATAAAACAATTTTTGATCGCAAATACTGATACTCAGTAGGGGAATGAGCCATGCACAGAATAATAACTACATAATGAAATGGAATAGAATACTTTCAGTGTTGATAAATTGCATAAAAATCAGCCAATGGTATGTGGTATCTGGAGGTTGAAGTTGCTCATCTATGTTAATCGGGGAAGATCTTAGGGTTGTGCTGTAGATGCATCTGATCGGTAAGGAGGCCACCAAGTGACCATACAACCTGCAAAGACTACAGAATCATCACGGGAAGGGCAGGGGCTGGGAGATTCCTGATAAACCACTGCGCATTGAAAAATTTATTTTTACCACTTTAGTGGTATAAAACCCAAACAGTCCTATAATAATCAGATGCCTTCTGTGTTTTTATTTTCTTAAGAAAATAATTTATTGTAATATCTTTTATCAAACACCTTGACCTGGATCACACCTAGGACATACAATGTTCCCTTGCTCAGAAGCTGGAAGCCCAAGTCTGCACCCTTATTGCTAGTTGGCAGGCTCCCCAAAGCTCTTCCCTGCCACTCAAGCCTTCATCACTGGGTCCTGTAGGGTGGGATCACCGAAGGCAGAGGCAACACTGGACACTGGACATGGGGCTCTGGCTTCAACTGCGTGGGCTGCATGTGACAGGGTTCATATGTCCCATGGGACTGAGAAAGACTATTGATTAGGGAGCACAGCATTCACCTCCCACTTGATCAGACAGCACCTCTCTGCTGGGAAGCCTATGGAGAGGGACATGAGTAATACTAAGGAAGATCTATGTTCTGTTTCCACTGCAGCTTCCAGGAGAAACACTCAGCTCCCCAGTCGCTAGCTTCAATGTCAGTGTCTTCAAGACAGAGAGTTTACATCATTCACCTGGAGGAAGCAGAATCTGGGTTCCAAAGATCCACCTACGTGCTCTTTCCACCTTGTCCACTCCAGCTTGGTGCAATGGTCCTGGGATCATCTTTGCTTAACATTTAGCAGATTGGTTGTCCTGATGACATTGCTGTTTATTACCATCTAAAACTTCCCTGACTCACATGGCCAACATTAGCAGTACCCAGCCACAAACATGTATATTGGAATTAATTAAAATTAACAATATAGTTCCTTAGTTGTTTTCACTACATTTCAAGTGTTCAGGAGTCACATATGACATATAACGGCTACACTTGCAAAGCATAGATATAGACATTTTCACCATCTTAAAAATTATTTTCATTAGTGCTAATCTAAATGGTTACAGTTAGAGACTCACAGTGTTATAGCTCACAGCACAAACCTCAGCAGCTATTATTCCAGAGAATCAGGTGGTCTCAGATGCTTCCTGGCTGGTGCAGCCACTGTTTCACGAATGGGAGGAATGAAGCTGGGTAGACAGATCCAGACCAGGGGCCCTCTACTCGCCACCCTAGCCTTGGGCATTATGTGCTGCAGGGTATCTCACAACCTCACCTTCTGCTTTCCAGAATCACATCATTGGCATCTCACATGGATCACAGAATCTAGCCCCTAATTGTTTTGTGACCATCTTTTCTGAACACCCTTTATCTTCAACTAGGTGACTGGTTTATTGAGGAGAGGAATCATTTTGTGTTCCCTACAGAATGCAGCATAATGGTGGATGTAATAAGATCAACTCCATGAAAACCCATGAAAAAACTCCATCAAGTCTCACTGGAAACCAGCATCTAAAATTCTATAAGATGTTATGTCACAAACCAAACATTGGAGGTTATGTTACAAACCTGGCCATTGGACAAACTCCATAATAAACATAAAATAGAAGTCTGATCTTAGAAATAGTGAAAATTAAGGGTGATATTGTTCCATTATCAGCAGGCAGCCCCCAAGGCGGGAATGGCGTCTCATGTGTGACCTGGATCACCTAAGAGGAGCTGCCAGTGTGCTGAGTGGTGGGAAAACGCCTTCTGTGCTCTGAGACTGGAAGCCTCGCCTTGCCCTTCCTACTGCCTTGGGCATGTCCTCAAAGCACACCTGCTATGAACTGAATTGTGTTTCACAAATTCATATTTTGAATCTCCAACCTGCAAAATTACTGTATTTAGACATAGAGGTTATGAAGGGGTAATTAGGGTGAAATGAAGTGAAAACCTTGGGGCTCTGATTTAATAGGATTTGTGTCCTAGTAAAAATAAACATCATCGATCTGTTCCTTAACCCCTCACCAGCCTCCAAGCATGCACTGAAGAAAGCATGTACTTGCTTCTCCTACTTACACATGCCCGGCACATTGCTGAACACACGTGAGGATGTATCCAGGGGTGACATCTGAAAACAAGAAGCAGGGTTCTCACCAGAAAGCAAATCCTTCTGGACTTTGATCTTGAACTTTCCAGGGTTCTAATACATTCACAATAAACGTTTAATAAATTAGCAATAAATGTCTATGGCTCAAGCCATCCAGCTCAGGGTATGTTGGTGTGGGAGTCCCAGAAGACTCATCCACTGTCACCACCTTCTCTAAGCAGGATCAGTCTCAGGAGGCACCTTGTGGACTTTGGGACCCAGCTTTTCTCCTTTTGCTCCTGCTGTCCTGACTGCCTGGTGAGGAAGGGAAACTCAGGCTTCAGCCTCAGATAGTTTGTATTAAACATGAACTTTCCCTGCTGATGAAGTTGTTAGCCTGTTTTTCCTTCTGATCAGAATTGCACCAAGTTGGAGGAACTACAAACTCGGTATTAATATTTGGGGATCTGCATGTTTGTTCCCCCACTTGGATGACAGTGAGCATGTTATGTGGATGCCATCGTTGTCCTCCTCCTTGTGTCTCAGGGGAGAGGGTCACTGTCACCTGTAGAGCTGGCCAGAGTATGAAGAACATCCTAGCCTGGCACTAGCAGAACCAGGGCCTGGCTCTGAGCTCCTGCTGCCCTCCTGGACATGATCCCTGCCTGGGTCAGGGACAGTAGGCCTGAAAAGATGTCATTCTGGCCAACAGCAACCAAGATGCCATCACAGGTAGGTGCTCCCTCCTCCTATCCCTGTCCTGCACAAATCTTCCATAGCAACAGCTCTGCCTGGGGTCCCAGGTGTTGTTAAGGGTCTGATCTCTTTTCAGGTGAACAGTCTGGAGACACCTGTAAATTCACACTCCCTCTTTTTCTCACACCCCCTTCCCACCTCCTCTGTGGGCGCTTCTAGTGTATCTTGTGGGCATCACTGCCTGGAGCATGTCAGGATGTTTTCTTCCACCTCCTACTCCGAATTCATGGTGAAAATTCATCCTCACTTCAGACATGGGCTGGCCACACCTTGTTTCTCTTATATACATGCCCTGGCACATTGCTGAACCCATAGTTCCAACCCCACTCCATCAATTTTTGTGGAAGGGTCATGGCTGGCAATTTGTGGTTATTGGAGACCAGTAAGTAAAATGACAACTATTGAGAAGTTTGTGCGTGGGACAGATGTAGACCACTGTCAACAGAGTCCCAGCAGCTGGTGAGCCATGAAAGTGGGGCAGAGAGATCCCACATCACCCCAGTCAGAGGGGAAGCTGGCAATGACTCATGGAGGTGCTTCATCCTGTGATCATGCAGCCTCTGAGCTACATGTGCTGTTTTGTTTGACAGAAATGACCAGAAGAGTACTTGTCTATGCTGAGCCCTGTGATCAAAATGTCCCTCCATTCAGGGTCCAAACTATCAATCTTCTGGGCATCTGCTGCTCTGTGATTCTGCAGATCCCCCTCAGGTCACTCATGATCCTCAGCAATGGGTAGTTCACTGCTGTCCATGCCGGGGGACATGGAAGAGGGTCCTGAGCTTTATCACCCTTAGGCCCTGGAGTGAGGAGGGCCATGAAGTGGTGCACCCAGTGCTCATTTTCAATGTTCGTGTTTACTTTATTAAAGTTTAAAACTATACCTTATACTAGCAACCAAAGTTATATATCTTTATATATAAACATGTACCACATATTTATCCATAAATAGACACATAGTATAGGCAAATGTATAAGTACAACTTATTTCTAAAATATATGTATTCAATATGTAAAATTTATATTAGAAATTCTTATTACAGATACACATGATTTTATGTTTATTTGTATACCATGTGTTCATTTTCTTTCCAAGCAGAACAGGGTCTGGCTGAGTAAAGACTTTGAGGACATTGGCCGACCCTCCATTTTTGGCTCCAGCAGGGTGCCAGTCATTCAGGACAAGGGAGGGCAGAGCCGACAGCAGCCAGCCCAGAATCCCAGCCCCAGCCCTAAGGTCTGGGTCTCTGAGACTTTCACTCTTGCCAGGCTGCGGGATATATGCTTAATGCAGCTCCTGTGAATTTGTGAGCAGTTTCCTTCCCTCAAGCCCCTGCCAGGCAGCCCTGTGGCCAAGGCCTGTGGTTGCTCCCAGGTCCTCAGCCCTGTGGCTCAGGAGAACTGCTGCTTCCCTCACAGCCCAGGGCCAGCGCCTGGAAGCTCTCAGGCACTGCCAGTCTGACTTTAGCCCTAGACTAAGGACTCTATTCCAAATGTCTCCTCAATTATTGCAGTACCTGAAACCTGTTCTTAAACTCAAAGTCCACATTTCCACAATTGATAAAGCTAGCATTTGGCATCTGGAAAAGTAGAAATGTGAATTAATTGTCATTCTCAGAGCCTGGTCTCTTCCAGCCCCACCAGATAAAGTTGCCCCATGTTCTCTTCTCTCCACAGAACTTTGCTTAGAATTTTAGGGAAATGTAAAATGCGGTAAAGCTCTTATTGCCTGCACAGAAATCATCCTCTTCTCCTTTGGTGCTTAGGGCACCAGCTCTAGCCTGCTGGGCATGGTGAGGACAGTGAGCCTCTCCCAGCCTGGGACAGGAGCAGGGATTAAGGGCACATGTGATTAGCTCCACAATGCAATGTCAGGGGGGTGAAGGAGGGGCAGGGACTCTGGGAAGAATTTGATCCTTCCTAAGAAGATGGAAGGTGAAGAGCTTTTCTTCACCTTGTAAAATCAATGACTTTATTTTAGATTTGGGAGCTGGGACACGTGTTTCATTGCCCTGACTCCTTCCACATCTCCTCTTTCTCTTACAATATCTCTGACTCTGTCTGTCCTTCTCAGATTGTGTCCTGAAAATCTAATTTTCCCTCGCAATATGAAAACAAACTAACAAAACCCTCTTCCTCCTATCACATGTTGTGAGATCTGACCCCAAACTCTGTGATACCCAGATCGTATAACAGATAATCATGAGATTTTACCCAGGAGATTTTCTAGCTAAAAACGAATTCTCGTGGTAGCTCTTCTCTCGGAAAAATTTTCTCTGTCTCTTGTCATAACTGACACCAGAAAACAAGGTGGAAATATTTCCAAGAACAGAAGACAAGCACGCGCTCAGTGAGCTGAAAGACATTTCTTCCCCTTGCATTAGTTTCCAATGCTGCTGTTTAAATCGCCACAGTCTTATTGGCTTCACACAACATAAATGTATTACCCTGTAGTTCTGGAGGTCAGCATTCTCACTGAGCTAATGTTAAGGTGTCAGTAGGGCTGCATTCCTTCTGGAGGCTCCAGAGGAAAGAACTGAATCCTCTGCTTTTATCTTCCAGGTGCTCCCACATTTCTGGCTCTATGGCCCCTTCCCTCCTCAAACCACATCCTTCCATATTGTCCCAGCTCCTCTCTGCAAGCCTCCTCCTCTATTTTAATGACCTTTGTGATTATATTGGTTTCATCTGGATAACCAGGTTGCTTATTCTCAAAGTCGTTAACTTACACCTGTCAAGTTCTTCTTTTGCTATGTAAGGTAGAATCCTTATGATAGGGCTCTGATGACTGGAGGACCACCACCGTTCTTAGTCTCACGCGGGTTTGTTTAAAAAGAAACGGACATGCGTGGGGTTGTTTTAAGGAGCGAAAAGTTTAATACGCAAGAAGGAAGGAAGAAGAAAACAGCTCCACCGTACAGAGACAGAGAGAGGGGAGATTAGAACTAAGAGAAAACTCCATGTGCGGTGGAAAAGTGGCTGCTTATATGAGGAGGCTGAAGGAGGTGGTGTCTGATTTGCATAGGGCTTAGGGGATTGGTTTTACCAAGCATGTCATTCATGTAGCTTGAGAAAAAACTGGCCCTCCCACCCTAGTGTTTTAATATGCAAATGCAGGGTGCCATAAAGTTCTACACACATGGGGATATGTGGGGGCAGCCATGTTGTCAGGCAAATGTCGGGGCAAGGAAGAAGACCGTGGGAGCTGGACGCCGTGGCTCACACCTGTAATCTCAGCACTTTGGGAGGCCAAGGAAGGTGGATCATGAGGTCAAGAGATGGAGACCATCCTGGCCAATATGGTGAAACCCCGTCTCTACTAAAAACACAAAAAGTAGCTGGGCGTGGTGGCATGTGCCTGTAATCCCAGCTACTCAGGAGACTGAGGCAGAAGAATCGCTTGAACCCAGGAGGCAGAGGTTGCAGTCAGCCGAGATCGTTCCACTGCACTCCAGCCTGGGCGACAGAGCGAGACTCCATCTCAAAAAAAAAAAAAAAAAAGAAGAAGAATGTGGGAATCTCCATGTTTGGCTGGACCCAGTTTCTAATGGCCAGTATTTGTATATCAAAGCTTGCCGCCTGTAATCCCAGCACTTTGGGAGGCCGAGGCGGGCAGATCAGGAGGTGAGGAGATCGAGACCATCCTGGCTAACACAGTGAAACCCCGTCTCTACTGAAAAATACAAAAAATTAGCCGGCCGTGGTGGCGGGCGCCTGTAGTCCCAGCTACTTGGGAGGCTGAGGCATGAGGAAACCAGAGGGCGGAGCTTGCAGTGAGCCGAGATCGTGCCACTGCACTCCAGCCTGGGCTACAGAGCGAGACTCCCTCTCTAAAAAAGAAAAAAAAGCTTGCCGGACCAGCTCTAAGAGCCAGGGCTTTCCTGCTAAACAAGAAACATTTCTGGAGCTGCTTTAAAAGAAACAAAACCTTCCCAAGGACCCTGTTTCCTCTCTATATGCCTAAAATAGTTTCTTAATAACTCGTATAACATGGGTTCCAGAGACGAGGATATGGACATCTTTTGGGGTGGGGACATTATTCATTCCACTGACCATAAACATATTCCCCAAAATTGTCCTTCTCTAGAGTAAAATTTAAAAAAATCACAAATTATTTTTATGAAGCAAGAGAGCTGGACAAAATCTTAGACTCAGGTTCCTCTAACTTGTGAGTTTTGACTGTTGGAGTGTGCTCACTCCACTGCCTCTAATGTAGATTTATGGATGTGTAGATAGTTTTAGAGGATTTTTAAATTTTGTGACCCAGTGTAAGCAAAACAGTATCTGAGACAGGTCTCAATCAAGTTATAGATTTATTTTGCCAAAGATAAGGATTATGGCCTGTGACACAGCCTTAGGGGGTCCTGTAAACATGTGCCCAAGGTGGTTGGATTACACGTTGGTTTTATACATTTTAGGGAGACACAGAAATTACAGGCAAAGACATAAATCAATACATATAAGATATACATTAGTTTGTACTGGAAAGGTGGGATATCTTGAAGCAGGGGCTTCCAGGTCACAGGTGGCTTCAAAGTTTTCCTGATTGGCAACTGGTTGAAAGAGTTAAGCTCTGCCTAAAGAGTTGAATTCACCATAAAGAAATGCTTGAGTTTAGATAACGGGGTGTGCTTGAGTTTAGATAAGCCAAGGTTCTTTTCGTGTAGATGAATCCTATGGGTAGCAGAAAAAGTAGACGTTGCTTGTCAGACCTTAAAAAAAAAAAGTCAGACCTTTGGAAAATGATTAGTAAGCATAGGAGATTCTCTACAGAATGCAAATTTCTCCCACAACGCGCAGCTTTGCAGGGCCACTTCAGAATATTTCAGAGAAATAGGTTGGGTGCGGTGGCTCACTCCTGTAATCTCAGCACTTTGGGAGGCCGAGGTGGGTAGATCACGAGGTCAGGAGATCGAGACCATCCTGGCTAACAGGGTGAAACCCCATCTCTACTAAAAATACAAAAAAAATTAGTCGGGCATGGTGGTGGGCACCTGTAGTTCCAGCTGCTTGGAAGGCTGAGGCAGGAGAATGGCATGAACTCAGGAGGCGGAGCTTGCAGTGAGCCAAGATTGCGCCACTGCTCTCCAGCCTGGGCACAGAGCGCGACTCCATCTCAAAAAAAAACAAAAAAAAGAAAAAGAAAAAGAAATATTTTTAGAGTAAAATTTTTAGATTTTCTTCAGGGCCTATTATCTGTCATGTTGGAGTATGGTATCTTATTGCTACAAGCATCTGTTTCCTCAGTCCAAAGATCTCTGTTATAATGATAATGCTGGTCAGTTGTGCCTGAACTCCAAAGGGAAGAGAGCATAATGAGACACATCCAAACCCACCTGCCAGTCATGGCCTAACCTAGTTTTTCAGATTTCTTTGAAGTTCTCTCTGCCAAAAGGGGAGTCCATTTAGCTCGTTGGTGGCTTACAACTTAATTTTTGGTTCACAAAACACACAGGAAAAAAAATCAATAAATTCAATCTAAAATAGATTGGTTAAAAAAAAGTGTTTTCTGAATATTCCTAGATGTCAAAGAAAGAGAAGTGATAAGAATTCAGATGAGAAATATCCCTCATACAAAAGTACAATGATTTTTTTTTTCTGTCTTATTTTGGGTCCACCAGCAATGAGTATTCCTGTTTAGGCAGCAAATTTACACTGGGAGGAAAGGAAGAAAGTGAGGCAGGAGCAGAAGATGAATGGTAAAAGACACATCAACCACCCACCTGACTCAGGATAACTGAAGATCAACCACATGTGGAAACATGGACTAAATTCCTCTGGGCTATTCCACCTGAGAGATGAGAAAGCTGGGATATGTATATACCTCATCTTATCCTCACTGATTGTGAGCTGTCTCTCCTGTTCTCTTTCAAGCTGCTATAACAGGTTCCTTGTCGCTGTGTAATTCATAAAAAACAGAAATATATTTTCTCACACTTCTGGAGTACGGAAAGTTTGAGATCAAGGCATGGGCAGGTTAAGGTCAGCTTTCTCTGCTTTCAAGACGATGCCTGGGGCATTGAGTCCTTCAATGGAAGGAAGGCCATGTCTTATCAGGACAGACCAGCAGAAGAGAGAGAAAGATTCCAGCCCTATAAACCCTGTTTATACTGGCATTAATGTATTCCACTAGAGGGCTCCACCCTCATGACCTAAACACATCCCAATAGGGCCCACCTGGCAAAAACCATTTCACTGAGAATG
The DNA here is from genome assembly GCF_000001405.40 of Homo sapiens. Lineage (NCBI taxonomy): Eukaryota > Metazoa > Chordata > Mammalia > Primates > Hominidae > Homo > Homo sapiens. The sequence goes on along the minus strand of NW_012132915.1, from coordinate 58,966 downwards.
AACTTTACAACAGATGGATTTTGGAGGACACAGTCAAACCATAGCACTTTCCTCAGAGATACACATTCCAGGACATCTGGCCAGCAATGCATGTAGGCAGACCTCTCTGCCCAAGATCATAAAGAACATAAGACATATATATGGCCATTGGAAGTGAGCAGAGGTACAGCAAAGGAGAAAGCCCTAGACTACAGATGGGGACTGCTACATTCATCATGGTACAGTTAACCCTTGAATAACTTGGGTTTGAAGTTTGCAGATACACTTATATTTTCTTCTGTGTCACCTGAAAGCAAGTACTTAATCAGTAGTAAATATATTTTCTCATTTTTATGGTTTTCTTAAGAACATTTTTTTCTTTACCATACTTTATTGGAAGAATAGAGTATAAAATATATATAAAATGTAAAAAAGTGTAATCAACTATTTATTTTATCACTAAGGCTTCCAGTCAAAAGTAAGCTATTAGTACTTAAGTTAGAAATGCAAAACTTCTACACAGGTTTTCATCTGCACCTGTGGTCAGTGCCCCAACCTCCATGTTGTTCAGGGGTCAACTGCTCACTCAATCTGCAGCTGCATCTCTCTGAAACAGGATCTTGGCAGGTGGCTGCAAGTAAAGGAATCCAGAAAATAACATCTCAAACTATGCTGCATTGGTATGATGATTATGTAAAGCCAAAGGCATTTAGAAAGCAGCAAATGCACAAGAAGTCTTTTCCTAAATATCCCTTATCTGCCTAAAAGCAAATTCTCCAGAAGAAAAACAATTGTCAAGGAAATTCTTCCTGGGAAATTTTATATCAGGGAAGATTAACACAAAACATGAATCAAAAATAGAAGAGACTGCAAGTTGATGCTTTATCCAGGCAGGCTATTGCCTGTTCTTTTGAGGATGCATTTCTTTTTTCATCTATTCTCTCCAGGTTGCCTACACTTCCCAATTCCCTCTTCCCTAGAAAGGAAATATGAACAACTGGATCTCATTGAGTTATCTGGGTAATCACCCCACTATGATATCCCACCGCACTCTAAGTGAATTTTGTTTGCCTTTTCTCTTATTCATTATTCTTTTGTCGGTTCATTTTCAGCAAACATTTAGAGGACAAATGGAACTTTCTTCCTTTCTTCCAATATAAGCAAGTTCCCTTAAAATTCAGGCTGCTTACAAAGCAGCAGAAATGTTTGTGCATGGGCTGCAGCACTGTGATTTTGCTCCCCTAGTCAGGCATCAGTAAAATTTTGTGGAGCCCGAGGCTGCAGCCCACTGATGCTGATGTGGTTACATCCACTTCCCCTGCTACTGAGTCAGGCTGGGACGTTCAGGGTACATTAGAGATATGAGATATAATGAATGCAAATCCATGTCCAGTTTCATCTGGATCCAACTGATTTCTCCATGTACATAGACAATTGCTTGATAAGAGATTGAGTATGTTTTTCCTAAAGGTGTTAACAGGGAGGCTGGTGTCTGGGTCAGGATGATGTCCCCATGCACTGATAAAAAGTATAAGAAGAAAGTGTCATTGATGGTGCATGGCAGGGACATGCTCCGTGCAGTGGCCACCCTCACTAAGACAGATGAACTTTGGGAAATAATACCCAATGGCAGAAAAGAAGGTAGACTATGAAGGTACCCAAAACAAGAATAAGGTGCACCTCATTTAGTCTCTGGGTATTAAAGAGACCTGCAGTTCTTGATAGTGGTGGATCTGTGAGTGCTGCATGCATGGAGACAACACGGTATCATCTTTGTATATCTGTAATAAATTGCTTGATCTAATACTAGTAAGAACAAAGGCATAACACCATTACCTAATACTTACAAATATATAGCATCATGCCGATACATTTTATTTTTAATTTTTTTTAGAAAGGAACAATGTTAAACTCACAGAAATGTTGCAGGTATAGCACAATTACCCCCTTCCCTACCCGGAATCTTATGAGAGTCTTTTGAAGACTTGAGAATCCTACCATCTAACATTTTACTATGTGTTTCCTACAAACAAGAATATTCTCCTAAATAATCCTGATACACCAATGAAATACATTACTCTATCGGCTCCTGAGGAATATTTAAAATTCTCAAAAAAATACCTAAAAATTGTTTCTCATAATAAAATAGTCCCCAGTAGAAACACATTCTCTGCAGACAAATTTGTGCTACCCTGGTCTTACCTGGGACACCTGGGGACACTGAGCTGGTGCTGAGTTACTGAGATGAGCCAGCTCTGCAGCTGTGCCCAGCCTGCCCCATCCCCTGCTCATTTGCATGTTCCCAGAGCACAACCTCCTGCCCTGAAGCCTTATTAATAGGCTGGTCACACTTTGTGCAGGAGTCAGACCCAGTCAGGACACAGCATGGACATGAGGGTCCCCGCTCAGCTCCTGGGGCTCCTGCTGCTCTGGCTCCCAGGTAAGGAAGGAGAACACTAGGAATTTACTCAGCCCAGTGTGCTCAGTACTGCCTGGTTATTCAGGGAAGTCTTCCTATAATATGATCAATAGTATGAATATTTGTGTTTCTATTTCCAATCTCAGGTGCCAAATGTGACATCCAGATGACCCAGTCTCCTTCCACCCTGTCTGCATCTGTAGGAGACAGAGTCACCATCACTTGCCGGGCCAGTCAGAGTATTAGTAGCTGGTTGGCCTGGTATCAGCAGAAACCAGGGAAAGCCCCTAAGCTCCTGATCTATAAGGCGTCTAGTTTAGAAAGTGGGGTCCCATCAAGGTTCAGCGGCAGTGGATCTGGGACAGAATTCACTCTCACCATCAGCAGCCTGCAGCCTGATGATTTTGCAACTTATTACTGCCAACAGTATAATAGTTATTCTCCCACAGTGTTACACACCCGAACATAAACCCCCAGGGAAGCAGATGTGTGAGGCAGGGCTGCCCCAGCTGCTCCTCCTGATGCCTCTATCAGCTGAGAGTGGTCCTCAGATGCAGCCACACTCTGATGGTGTTGGTAGAGGGGGACATGGAGTCACCTCTGCACCCTAATTCTTTTCTCTTTCTCAGCCCCAACTGCACAGATCTAGCAATGCCTCTCCTGATTTAATAAAGACAGAGATCATGACACCTGAAGAGTCTAGTTTATGGCTTCAGCTGGACTTTATATAACAGAGAAGAGGCCACTATAGATATTCAAAGCAGGAATTGTCTTAATACAGACAATTAGAGTCTAAACTACTGAAGTCTAAATAAAATGTAGAGATGAATCTCTAAATTTAATGTTTTACGTGCAAAGAAATATTTGCCAAATGGGGCATACAGGAAAACTCAGTGGTCTTCAATATGTTGGAAGAACAAAGAGAAGGTTAGAGTTTTACGAAAAAGGGAACATGTTACCTATGGCTCTTTGAGAAAGTTCATGGGCACTAGGAAGGGTTGGGAGCTGGCAAGCTCAGACTGGGAAGCAGTGGTGGACAAAGTGAATCCTACAGTTATATCAAGTTATCTCAGAAGTTGTGGATAAATTTGATTTCAGGTTACAATAAGCCAAAGGCAGTGAAGCTTGCAGAGAATTTTGTTACTGAAATGCCAGGGATTCAGTGTAGATCCTGCTGCTCACCACACAGAAAAACAATCACTAAGACAAGTATTGCCAAGGAACAGGCTTTAATCAGGTGCTGCAGCCGAGGAGATGGGACACCATTCTCAAATGTATCTCCCTGAACTACTAAAATGAGGGGTATATATATCAGGGAAGAAATGTGGGAAAACAGGAATTAGGGAGGGGTAAGGAAGATGATTTGGTCAACAGGAAGCAGGAGGTCAGTTAGGCAATCACAATGGGTGAAGAGTCTGATGTCTCACTGTCCCGATTCAGTGATATGTAAGTTTCAGCTCCTTTTGATAGTATCTGGAGGCCTGATGGTTGGTTTCCTGACAAAAGAACTCCTCAGATAAGAAAAATATAACTATCTTGAGTTTTTAAGACTGGAGGAGTCAATTTCTATGTTCCTTCAAAAAACCATAAACATTAGTTCCATGGGATAATAGGGCCTATTTCAATTACATTCTTCAGACAATATTTTGCACCCTGAGTGTCTTTCCCTCCTGGTTTCTTGGCTCTGTTGGGTATGACAAGAATGACCCAATTCCTACGATTAACTTTCCCACTACAACCTTTCAAAGCCAAGGATATAGTAGTCAGGAAAGTTGATATTAGAAGCAGGAATCTCTGTTGCTCCCTCAGAAAACTGAATGCATCTTCCCCTGAAGTATGGGCTATCTAACCATGTGGTCCTCAGTCCTGTCTGGAAGCTTAGGGGTGGGGGTGCTGATGCTCTCAGCTTCCTACAGCATCTTTCCAGGTGTTTCTCCAGTCCTCATCTCTGTCCCTGTGTCTGTCCTAGGTACCAATGGAGAATATTGAGCCATCCTTTCCTGATTCCAAATCTCATGGGAGGACCTCTTATTGGGCCACTCTATAGAACACAAGAGAGGCAAAAAAGGATATTCATATAAGTTAAAATGATTTTCCCCCAATGAGGCCATTTTAAAAAATTATATTTAAAGCCACATGTTGAAAACACATCCAGCTTTATTTTCTTATTAATGCAAATTTACATTTGCAAATATTTTCAAGATTGTAAAGGATGAAAACATAATTATTTGTCCATGGAATGATCAAACACCTCTATAATTAAATGGAGTAAACATTTTCTTGAAAATTTGTACTCACTGAAATAAAGGAATATATTTTAAATATCTGAAGCTATGTTAGAAATTATTGGACTTAAATTCAACTGTCCAGTTTGGTTTGGGATGTTCACTCCTGTGACCTGCCACAAGAATCTTGTATCATGTGTAGTCACTGGTGTTCAGCTTAGTCCTCAGACAATTGATATCTATAGGCTGAAGATGAGGTCTGTGTCCTTCAGAGGATCCACTCAGCTGAGCCCTTCCTTGATCAGTCAGAGGATTGTGAACATGAGCATCCGTGAACATGAAAACAAATGTTTACTGTTATCAGTCACTGAGTTGTGTATTTAACCAGTTACCAATCAGTAATGCATAAAAGCTTCCTGATACAGTATTTACACCTCTACCTATATGTACACACATGTATTTTTTCTTAAATTGGTGATTTAAATGTGAATATCCAGTAATCAAATTATGAAGTTATTAAAAGAAAATTAAAGACAAAATTAAAACTAATTAGTATTTCAATAAAAAATTAAAATTTATCTTACGGAAAAGTATGCATACATGTATATAAGATACATAGAAGTGAATATATATGTTTTTGATAAAATGTTGGCTACAAATATATATAGTATTCATATTTAAGTACATTTATTCTATCATATATGCAATATATGCATATTTATAAAATTCTTATCTGAATTAAATACATTTAAAATTTTTTGTAACCTTCCATAAAATAATGGTATTCTGGACCACATGTAGTTCTTACTCTTGCTACAGAAAATTTTTTTGTTTATTTATTTATTTATATTTATATTTATATTATGTTTAAATTTATGTATATTTATATTATATTTATATTATATTTAAATTTGTTTATATTTACATTTATATTATATTTAAAATAAATTTATTTATATTTTTCCAACTCAATGGAGCTCCAAGGGTAGGACTAGAACAAATTTTGACTAATGTTGAATATTAAACATTGCATCCTATGAAAGTCTCCATTCTGTTCATGCCCACAATGGTGATATTCCAAATAGAGTTCTCACAATAATGGATGCTGGATGGCGTCACATTAGTGCCATTGTCAAGGAAGCCCTGCAAATGTAAAAATCATAACAATGAGTAAACTGCAAGGGTTATATCTGATGATCACATTGCAACGATAACAGTTTTGGGGTGATCAGACCCAACACCAGGTCGTGGGGGTGACAAAGTCTGGTGGAGTCAAAGATTGAGAAAAAGACAGTTTGAGAGAGAAATGTGGGCACCAGGGACCATCGTAGTGTATGGAGGCTAAGAAGGCCCTGAGCCCTGGGATCCCATGCTATTTATTGGTAATCCAACAAAGAAACACGTGGTAAGAATGTGGAGGCCAAAAGGATGCATTGCATTAAGCACATGATTTACACCTGTGATGGTTTAGCATTTGCTCTACTACTTGAGATAATGGAGAGCAGGTTCTTTTAACTCAAGATACAATCGATCCTTGGAGAGCAAAGAGAAAGGAGCCAGCAAGTGTAGACACACTCCAGAGCCACGAGTCCTGGATTCTATCCAAGTCACAAGGGATTTTATGCCCTGGGCTTAGATTATGGTGCGTCAGGGTAGCCTTCCACCCTTTAGCACAGAGCTTGGTGTACTAAAGGCCACAAGGGGTTTTAGACCCTGGACCCCGGACGTGTTCCAAGACTCTTTTACATTACGTCAGACATGCAAGCCCTGCCTCAGCTTCTCCCAACATTCAGCTTTTCCCAACATAACGGCAATGTAATAATATTGGCTGTTGGTTTTGACAGATCATCAGGCCTTCAAAGAAATGCAACAAAACGATTGCAGACAAAGTGATTGAAAAGCTATGACTAGACTTTTCAAAGATGAGCCAAAATAAAAAAAAAATGCTTTCCCAGTGAATATTAATCAAAATGCTATTAATGAGCAGGGGCTTTTAATAATGAGGATGATTCAACACATGGACTTCAGTCAGTCACCTTTCCCAGCTTTACCAGGGAGTCTCATGAACCAATGTTATGGAGGTCCCTTTGGGGACTCAATTATGAATTTCAACTAACTGAGACTTAAAGGGCTACTGGCTCTTCTGAACACCTCATTTGCCAAGAAGAATGACCCCTCCTGAACCCCTAACATTGTACAACACATCAGGGATCAGATGAACAGCTGGGGTCAGGTGATACTAGTGGACCTCATGTAACATGAGGAGAGCACTGGTTATTTTCCTATATATGAATTTGCCTTTCTTTTTGGTTGTATTTCTGCACAAATATTATTTGAGGATTTTCCAAATGCTTTCATCAGAGTCAGGAAATTATTCCATAATACGGTTTTGGATCAAGCAATGTATTTACCTCAGAAAAAGTGAAAAAAGTGTAGCTCATGCTCTTGTCATGTGCACAGGTGCAGATTTCCCTATAGACAGGGGAAAAAAACATTATTAGTCAGGCACAGCTGGCACACAAACCTTGTGCTGTTGAATTGCTATGCTGTCAGATGTGGTGGAGGCTCTGAAACACTAACCATGATTCGTGCTTTTACTCCCATAAATAGAATATTTATATCTTGAAAATGAGCTATAGACTCATCACTGTTATGCCAACTGAACAGCTTGAAATATTCTGTTTCTATTTATTCAGGGCTGTGGTTATCTGGTTGATGGTTCTTAATCCAAAGAGTTGACATGACAATTATTCCATGAAATTGGAAGAAATGATATGATAAGCATGTGACCATTTAGACTTAATACAATACTGGATAAGTTGTCAACACAGGGCTTTAGGGTGTGTCCTGGGCACATAGATGTAGCCAATATAAAGCAAGAGCAAATGGAATTGATTTTACTTATTTTAGAGAAGAAGTACAGAAAATATGGACCCTAGGGGACCTTCTGGAATCTTTCTATTTATTGCCATTTCCACTGGTAAAACTCAGAGAAGATTTCAACAGTCATGAAGATGAAGTTCTAGGGATCACAGTCACGTGAAGCATTCCCTGCACTTGGATCTCCAGTGAGGCAAAGAGAAGATGAAATGCATAGTGGGATATGGAGGTATAAACACCAGAGACAGCCACCTGGTCAGCTTAAACGTTGAAAACTGTATTTATTTTTTCCCTTTAGTTTTATCACTGAATCAGCTGGATCTAAGAAAAGTGATTATGGCTGGTTAGGCAGAAAGGTGTTTATTATCATGAATGAAATGGAATGAAAACATTTGGGGAAACCAGAGTGGCAGCTCAGGCAAGTCCAAATACTCCTTTTGCTATTTCTTGATCCTCTCCCTGCCCCGTGTTTTCCACAGTCAAGAAGGACACTCTCATTTTGATAGAAACCTGGCGAGTGAAGATATTGTGCCCATAGGACTGGGCTGCCTGGCTGTGACCCAGACCAGGAAATTGAGCACATTTGAGTGAGATCAAGCACGTCCCCTCCCCCATCTCAATCCAAAAGCATTCTGTAGTAACACAGCTGATGTGCATTCTTCACCACATCTGGGACTTAGGAAGCCAAGGACATGAGGAGTAGCATTTCCAGACTCTACCATAGAGAAAGTATTGCCAGAAACTACAGAATAAAATAAATGTGAAAGAAGCTGGTGACAATAACTAAATGTGTCATGCATATATGTATTTTAAATAATTTAATATTTTCTATATACCCTTTCTTTAAAAAAATTCAAAGTGCTATTTTTAGCCACCTTTACAATTTAGGCCAAAAATTAAACAATAAGTAGACAGATTAATGGCTCATGAGAGAAGAACATTTTTTCCTAGATGGTGTTGGGATGAACAGATTGGAGTTTCCCCACATTTTGGGGAGCACAATGCTACATGGGGAGCATGATGTTCTTTGTAAAGGAAATCTTTATGTTGGGTTGTAGCATTTTGCTGTTGATACTAGTAATTCCTGGAAATTCAAGTGTAGAAACGTGTATTTATGATAGAAAGCCACAGTGTGGACTTGGGCAGAAATAACCCCTGTACCCTTGAAAACAGATGAATCTACATGAGTCTGACATGAAGATATAATCAACACAGGCAGGGCTGCAGGGAAAGGGGTCAGGTCTCTAGTAGTTGATAGCAGAGCTGCTGTCCTTCAGGGGGCAGTAGTGAGAAGAGCTGCTCTCTTTCCTGCAGGAGACAGCTTGAATGTGGAGTCTCAGGCAGCAGGAGCTCCTCCCCAGCCTGCGCCAGCAGTGCCATTCTTGGAATTGTTCTAGAGGCTTTGCCTGGAGCCTATTCCTTCAGGTTTTTCAACACTTTGCAAGGAATTTAATATCCTCTAGTAAATCCTTTTATGCTTCATGGATTTGACACTTGCAACAGGGAATATACACAGTTGACATCATTCACAGCCTCCTTTTTTCTTGCTAAATATAATGCTTTCCAGGTGGACCTGCCAGAGGAGGCCAATGTGAACAACAATCCTTGTCGCCAAAAATGCAAGACAAATAAGCTCGAGAAAGCCACTGTGTTCTCACCTAGCTGCACTGTGCCCTGGTACAAAATGAGAGAGTGTAAAATTCTTAGCTCCACCATCAGAGAGATGGTCTAGAGTGACCTTCTCAGCATAGTAAGTCAGTATTTATAGACATTTGAATACTAACACCTTTAATACCATAATACAGGCAAAAGTAGAAAAGAAGATAAATTGGACTACATAAAAATGTAAAATGGGCATCAAAAGACATAACCAACACAGTGAAAATGCAACATGTGGAATAGAAGAAAATATTTGTAAATCGTATATCTGATAAGGGGTTAATAATATCTAGTACATAAAAATAAGTCCTACATGTCAACATTAAAATAAAATACCTGATTAAAAACGAGAAAAGTATATGAATCGACATTTCTCTGGAGAATATTCTTTAGAGATAATTAGATAACTAGCATAGGAAAAGATGCTTAATATTATTAATCCTTAGAAAAATAAAAACAAAACCCACCTCACACCTATTAGGATTTTTTTTTCCAACAGAAAATGACCAGTCATGGTGAGAACTTAGGGAACTGGAACTCCTGTGGACACTGTCGTGGTGATGTAAATGGCCCACCTGCTGTGGGAAACCAGATGGCAATTCCTCGAAGAATTAATAATGGAAATACTATATAATCCAGCAATTCCACTTTTGGACATATACCCAAGTAATTGAAGACATTAACTTGAGGAGATATTTGTATACCCACATTCAGAACCGAATTATTCATAGTAGCCAACAGGTAGAGCAACTCAAATGTTCACAAAGGAGTGAACTGGTAATCCAAATGTGATATATACATACAATAGCATATTATTTAGCTTTAAAAAGGGAAATTCTCACACATGCTATAACATGGATGAAACTAGAGGACATTACGCTAAATGAAATAAGCCAGTCACAAAAAGATTACTGAGCTGTGATTTCACTATGGTATTTGCAGAATAGTTTTCATTTTGTCTTGAATCAACCCAGTCCCCTTCCCTTTCTTGATTGTAGTTTTCTGGAATAACTGTAGAATGTTCTGGAAATGTAACATTCTGAGATAGGGCATGATTGGCCAGAACAGCCTGGGTTCCGTTTCTGTCCCTACTAGAAACAGGAATTCCTTCAACACTCTAGCCCAGTGTGTCATGTGATTCTAAGACATAAAACCCAGGGTGGGCTGTATTCCAGGGTCCCTCAGCTGCAGTCCTTGTGGGGTACACACAGTCTAGTGTCAATCAGGTCCCCGCAGCTTTGTGCTCTCTCTGGCTGACTCTCTGTAAGTAGTAATCCACTTCATGTAACTGGTTGTGCATGGGTGCTGTGTGTCACCGGATTTGGGTAAGTTGGCAACCAGTGCACAGCAAACCTTCTTGGCAAAATTGGTGCAGTGAGAAGGTTTGATTTGAGAGAACCATGGCTTAATGGTGAAGATGGAGGAACAATACTCTCCAGTACCTGGCCCAGTACAGAGACATCAGCCTGGTGATGCAAGGGCTGGACATGAAGATGGATGTTTAATGAGGAGGGAGGATAAATGTGACATGGTGAGAGGCAGCGTTTGATGTGCCAGTGAGTCAGTGGAAACAGCGGAGAAGCAAGACAGCAAGAGACAGCAAGAGATGGCATTTTGTGAGAAGATGGACATAGCGATCAGCAATGGGCAAGACAGCTATTGGAGAAGTGGCAAGACAGTGATCAGTGAGAGAGGGTGTGATGGGGATCAGCACTACAGCGAGCAAAGCTACAGAGTTGCTAACATTGCAGAGCTGTTAACACTAGCCAAAGGCTGTTTTAAGAGCCATCATCTTTCCTGACAGGCGGTGGAGCTGAGCAGTTAGGTAAGTGGCCACAGAGCCACTGCTTCATGCAGGCCAGCTGCTGCATGCACCAGTTCACCCACGGGAGCTCAACCCACCCAAGCTGGGGGGCCTGGAGAGATCTTCACACAGGCCCCACGTTAGACACTGCTTGGCACCATTTTGGCTCCTGCACACCTGTAAGTGTCCCATCTACCCACCTGCCCTATGTCAGATGATCCAGGAAATAAGGCCTTTGGCTAAATAGTCCATTTGAAGTCCCCCATAGCACACCTGACTACATCCTCATTGCTCCTTCTCTTAGTCATTTCTCCTCTAATGCCATTTTATCTATCCATTAGCCAATTTATCTTATTTTCTACCCTGATATATGTGTTTGCTTTGCAGTTTTTTCTTTGGGTCCCTACTAATTATGTTTGTGCAATTGTTTAAGGCAGGACACTTGGATGTAAGAATTCTCCTGTTCTGTTGACTCTAAGAAGCCAGAGTCACATTGTTCTGTGGCCCCAACCAGGCCTTTGGGGCTCACTGTTGGCCACCCCACTGAGGCTCCAGGATTTTCTGCACTGGTCAGCCCCTGGATACTCCAGGGTTTCCTGGCATTTGGTGTGGGACACTCATAGGCTGATACGCGGGTACTCTGGGTTTTCAGCATTTGGTATTTTCGGTCACTCCCTGGATGCTCCAGGGTTTCCAGCATTGACATTTGTCTGAGGATTGTGGATTGGAGACTCACCCTATGGGAATCTTGGTTTGCCTTTTCTTGTTTTCTTCCCTAAAGTTATCATTTTCCATAACGGCCTTGTGTTTTCTTTTTGTCACTTTATTTACACTTTTTCTTCTACACTTTATTTAATAAAAATACTGCTTTAAGGCCGGGCATGGTGGCTCACGCCTGTAATCCCAACACTTTGGGAGGCCGAGGTGGGTAGATCATTTGAGGTCAGGAGTTCAAGACCAACCTAGCCAACACTGTGAAGTGTTGTCTCTACTAAAAATAGACTGGACATAGTGATGCATGCCTGTAATTCCAGCTACTTGGGAGGCTGAGGCATGAGAATTGCTTAAACCCAGGAGGCGAAGGTTGCAGTGAGCCAAGATGGCACAACTACACTCCAGCCTGGTAAAAGAGTGACACCCTGTATCAAAAAATAATAACAATAAATAAAAATTTTTTAAAAAAAGTAGCGCTTTAGTCATATTTTGTTCACTAACAAATGCTTACAATTTAGTTTCATAATGTCTTGCTACCTCTTCTTACACCTTCTATACAGGAAGTGGAAATCTGAGATGAGAACAATGATGGCCCAGTCACTTTCTAGAAAATCGTCTGCATATTGAAACTGGGTTTTCTTAAGTTATTAATTTGCTACATTATTGAAAATTATACAGGCCAGGTGCAGTGGCTCATGCCTGTAATCCCGGCACTTTGGGAGGCTGAGGCGGGTGGACCATTTGAGGTCAGGAGTACAAGACCAGCCTGGCCAACATGGTAAAACCCCATCTCTACTAAAAATACAAAAATTAGCTAGGCACAGTGGTACGTACCTGTAATCCTAGCAACTTGGGAGGCTGAGGCAGGAGAATGGCTGGAACCCGGGAGGCAGAACTTGTGGTGAGCCAAGATTGTGCTATTGCACTGCAGCCTGAGTGACAGAGTGAGACTATCTCGAAAAACAAACAAACAAAAAGTAAAACAGAAAATTTTGCCTTTGATGCAATAATGAGTTTCTTTTAAAACTTCTGAGATTAGTGTCTTAGAGATTCAACTGTGGTGTTTTGCTGCTTTCAGCTTATTCTCCCTTTAAAAAGGCCTGAGATCATTGCTGTCTCCTTTTGCTTCTTCATCAGCTCCTGTGGCTTTTTCACCTCCGGTTCTGACTGTTGTTGCGGACTTGATGCTAAAGTGTTTTGTCTTAGGCGTCTCTGGAAGCAATGTTTTCCCCCAGTATAGTATTATTCTACGTACTTGGTTTTTTAACATATATAACCTTATTTGGGGCCTTACTTTTTTATTTTTATACAGCTTTAAAAATACATATATTCTTCTTTGAGATGGAGTCTCACTCTGTCACCCAAGCTGCAGTGCAGTGGTGCGACCTCGGCTCACTGCAACCCCTGCCTCCTGGGTTCAAGGGATTCTCCTGCCTCAGCCTCCCGAGTAGCTGGGACTACAGACACATGCCACCATGCCCAGCTAATTTTTTTTATTTTTAGTAGAGATGGGGTTTCACCATGTTAGCCAGGATGGCCTGTATCTCCTGACCTCATGATCTGCCTGCTTAAGGGCTAATGAGTGCCTGCCCACCTCCATGCTGTCTGGCCTAAAATATTTAATTGGCTATAAATGTTTTCATTCCAAGCTCTGTGGCCAAAGGAACTACCAAAGAAACCTAAAAAAAATCTAACTCAAGCCATGGTGGGAAACAGGGAGTCAGACACACCTTGCTCCACCCCTGTTTGAAATGTAGGCCAGATTCAAAAGGGCTTTTAAAATTATGAAAATAAAATAGTGCCCTTTTCCACAAAACAAAATAATAGCTCCTCTGTTTAACCAAAAGACTTAGTCTTATGAAAAACTTAAAAAGAAGGAACTGGCTGGGTGCAGTGGCTCACGCCTATAATCTCAGCACTTTGGGAGACTGAGGTGGGTGGATCACTTGAGGCCAGGAGTTCAAAACCAGCCTTGCCAACATAGCAAAACCATATCTCTACTAAAATTACAAAAAATTACCTAGGCATGGGGGTACATGCCTGTAATCCCAGCCACTCAGAAGGCTGAGGCATGAAAATAGCTTGAAACCAGGAGGCAGAGGTTGCAGTGAGCCCAGCCGAGATTGTGTCACTGCACTCCAGCCTGGGCAACAGAGCGAGACTCTGTCTTAAAAAACAACAACAACAAAATGATCCCCCAAGAATCAATAATAATCAGAATAAAGGGGCCCTTACCAGATATTCTTAATTATTCCAACTACTGTTAGGCTTCAGGAAGCCACTAGCTGTCCAGGATTAAACCTGTTTCTTATGAGATCCTGCAGGCACAAAAGGTGGACACCACAACCTCCATTTATAAAACCTAGAAAACTTAAGGCTGTTGTTTTGCAAACACATAGATTAACAACTTGGTTCTGTGGGTGGACATAGGAGCATTAATTTTTCTCTCTCTTCCAATTATAATTTTCTTGTTTAACCTCCTAGTAAAGTTTATATCTTCTAAATTTCATGTAAAAATGATACGGTCCGTCATAAGTCTTTCAATCCATTCTGTCTTCTGACCCCACAAATGAAAGCATCCTGCCACTGGGCCCCTTAGTTCAGATACCAAAGATTTTTACTCTTCAAATGCTAGGGAAGGCCTGCCCCCATAAAGTCAGAAGGAAGCACTCACAGAAAAGGGACTCTGCTCTTCTGCAGTCCCCTTAAGATTAAGGAGGAGTATCTAATCTCCAAGGGGCAATGAGGTAGGAGGTAGGTGGGACTCAACTCTGGACCAGATTGAAGAGTGGGTGACACAAGGAAGAGACACTGGAAGCACCTGTCCATAACACATGCCCACCAGTGCCGTATCAGTTTACCATTGCCATGGCAAAACCTGAAAGTTACTGCCCATTTTCTAGTTATTTCTGAATAACCCACTCCTTAATTAGCACGTCATTAAAAGCAGTGATAAATATGACTGCAAAACTGCCCTATGCTACTGCTCTTGGCACACTGCCTATGGGGTAGCTCTGCTCCACAAGAGCAGTCACAGAGGTGTAACACTGCCACCTCAGTAAAGCTGTTTTCTTCTACCACCAGCTTACGCTGCATTCCTTCCTAGTGAAGCCAAGAACCTGCCCTGCACCACTTTTGTCAAGTCAGTTGACATAAAATTACTCATAATATCCTCTCTTTATTTTTTTACTCTTATAGGCTGTGTAATGACTTTCTCCTTTCCACTTACAATATTGTGTTTTGTGTCCTTTTTCTTTCCCTCTTCTATACACCCTTCATCAAGTAGTCACAGGCTTCAATTCACTTCTTTCTTGGTGGTAATATGGCTCATGAGAAATGCTGATTCTTCTGGGTATGAGGACATTCATGTTTATATGCAATACTGTAAAAAGTACTGTGACGTAAGCCTCCACTTCACAAACTGACCACTGTCAAACATCATCTCCCAACCAATAGAGAATTTTTTTGTTCCTCACTAGTATAATTTACATAGGAGTAGAAATCTCAAGTTTAAAGTGTGGATTTGCACTTTACCATTTGGTGTATTCAAGAAGATGAATAATATTAATACATCAGCAGGGCCTGGTGCAGTGGCTCAAGCCTGTAATCCCAACACTTTGGGAGGCTGAGGCAGACAGATCACCTGAGGTCAGGAGTTTCAGACCAGCCTGGCCAATATGGCAAAACCCCGTCTCTACTAAAAATACGAAAATTAGCCAGGTATGTTGGCCTGCACCTGTAATCCCAGCTACTTGGGAGGCTGAGGCAGGAGAATTGCTTCAATCAGAGAGACAGAGGTTGTGGTGAGCCAAGATCGTGCCACTGCACTCCATCCCAGATGACAGAGCGAGACTCTATCTCAAAAAAAAAAAAAAAAAAATCAGTAGCTTTGAATTTTAAACATCTATTTGACAAGAAATTTGTAGTTCTTTCTCTCTAAAATAATGTAATGATTCTTTCAGGAATGAGCCTGGTTTGATGCCTCTCTCCCCAACATGATAGAAATGTGGCATAAATCTATGAAAAATTCCATTTCCCTGTTCCTACAACAACTATCTGGGATGGAAAACTTCTTCCCTTGCTCTAGTCCTTTCTTCTACACCCAGTTTCACCTAATCTGTGACTCAAAACAATACTTGTCAGGAAACATTCTGGAAAGAGCAAAAGACTTCTAAGAGGTGTCAGAGATTCCTGTACCACCATCTGTCCATCTCTAGAGGGGGTTGTGAGTATGAGGAAGAGCAGAGCTTGTCAATCTTGCTTTCACTCCCACTGTATTTCCTAACAACGGCAACCACAGCAACAGCCATAACATCATAGGACAAATCTCTACTACTTCCAAGGCTTTTATCTCAGTAAATCTTCTTTACCTCTATCTCAGGCAGCTAAAAGTTTTGATACTCATACAAATAGTACTGTAGCTTTCTGTTTATAATTGGAAAAGTGGGCAAGACTCAGTGTAATGCAGGCATTCCTTAAGCTAGTTAGCATCCAGTTTTTAGATTATCATTGCACACATATACCCAGCATATGTCTAATAGATATGTAAAAATCCATGAAGCAAGAGTTATAATAGCTTGTGTTTTCTGTTGTATTGTATTTTCCTCTTATACCATCTTCTGCTTTTTGTCATTAAAAAAATCTGTTGAAGTCAGTCTAAATTATTGGATCATAAGTAGATAAAATCTTTTTTTTGATAACACATTGCCCCAATGAATATGTTTCTTTGCAAGACACAGTCCTTATTTCCAAGATAACACACTAGAATGTCAAGAATAGTTTCCCTTAAATCAACAGAATAATAAATTTTGTCGTAATGTCTGCTCATCCGCATGTAGGCACAGCTTAGTTTAGTCTTTACATAGACGACACTCCTATATAAGAAAAACTTAAAGACGGTATGTTCCTCTGCTTGCTTTCTGAGGATGCCTTACTCTGTAATGGAGTAATTTTCAATAAATTCTCTCTTATCACTGCACTTTCCAACTTTCCTTGAATTTCTTCCTGCATGAAATCCAAGAATCCTCTCTTGGAGTTTGAATCAAAATCCCCTTTTCTGGTAACAATATGGTCTATTTTAGTAAATTTTTTGAAAAGATTATGCAATCTGCTGTGCTGGTGGAGTGTTCTCGAAGTGTCAATTATGTCCAGATGGTTGATTGTGCTGTCCAATTCATCTGCATCTGCACTGGCCTGAGAGGCAGGACTGCTTGTGCTACAGGCTGAACCTGCTGCAGAGCCCTTTTTTTGCCCCGGGTCCCACTCAAGGCTGGCTGACTCGTGTATCAGTCGGTCAGTGAGCCAGTACAGTATTCCAAGGTACAGAATTTCTTGCCTCTAGAATCCAAAGAGGCCTACCAAGGCCTTCCTCCCTTCAAAGACAACGACATGCATTAGATACAATGGAATGGAATATGCATTCCTCTTCCCGTGAACTCTAATTTTCTCCTTGTTTACGAAGCACACATTACAGCTAGCTTATTCACTGGGGCATCATTTAGTGCCATTTAATGGCAGCTGTAGAGCCAAGTGCCCAGAAATACCAGCTACAGTGAAATACAAGCTGAGGGAAATCAGCCTTGCAACCACAGCCAAATAACCCTGGAACTGTTTCAAGTTCATCCTGATACTTAGAGACATTCTATCAATGAGCACCAGAGTTAGTGAGAGCTAGTTCCTCCTCAGAATTAGCTGGGTGGAGCCAAGAAGAAAGCCTATTCACCACCTAAAGATTGATACACATCTTCATCATCACAATCTCCATTGCATCAGCAATGAAGAGTGACAGGCTGCAGTCACAGTGTCTTCCACATTGATTCATGGTATTTCAGAATGTCACCCTTCTAAGCCAGGCAACACCAATATTTTATTTTGGTTTCATCAACACAAAAGATATTCTGTGTCACTTTGCTTACATAAGAAGCCCACTCTTCGACCCCAACTGGATATTTCTTCACTGCTTCACTCACCAGGGGATTTGCATGTTGTCCCCTAGGGAAGACCTTCCCTTGTGAGTCTGAGATAAAAGCTCAGCTCTAACCTTGCCTTGACTGATCAGGACTCCTCAGTTCACCTTCTCACAGTGAGGCTCCCTGCTCAGCTCCTGGGGCTGCTAATGCTCTGGGTCCCTGGTAAGGACAGAAGAGAGGAGAATGGGACTGGAGGGTGAGCTCTGTGGAATCTGCAGCCTCCCATTTGTTGTTCTGTCTACATGTCAGATGCAGATTTCTTGTCCTCCAGCAAAGGGAATTTAATATTCAGACCTGTAAGAACTAAGAACGAGCCACAAGGAAAAAGAACTTCACTGTCGAGAACTTCAAAAACAAAGAGGCCACTTTGTGCCTTTAATTATTGGATTATTTTTGGATATTGGATAAATGTAGTGTATGAATCTAATCAAACACAAAAAAGTAGCCTAACGTATACAATAAAACTAAATTATAAAAATGTCTCACATTGTTTGTATGTAACCTTGTACTTCTCACTGTTATTATTTTAGGATCCAGTGGGGATATTGTGATGACCCAGCATCTGCTCTCCCTGCCCATCCCTCTGGGAGAGCCGGCCTCCATCTCCTGCAGGTCTAGTCAGAGCCTCCTGCATAGTGATGGAAACACCTATTTGGATTGGTACCTGCAGAAGCCAGGCCAGTCTCCACAGCTTCTTATCTACACAATTTCTAACAAATTCTATGGAGTCCCAAACAAGTTCAGTGGCAGCAGGTCAGGGACAGGTTTCACACTTAAATTCAGCAAAGTGGAGGCTGAGGATGTTGGGGTTTATTGCTGTGAACAGGGTCTGCAAGGTCCTCACACAGTGGTAAAACCCTGAACACAAACCTCCCTACTTGGGATGGCCCAGCCATCCACAAGTGTTTGCACGTGGACTGTCTGCATGGCAGATTCTGAGTTGGCTTCACAGGTAGATGTTAGATGACTGCAGGGAATAATTTGCAGGAAGATCCAGACTGTTCTGGCCCCATCACTGTAACAGCCTTATTTCACATGGCTCAAGCAGAAGAATGAAGGTGATCAAAGTGCTCTCTGAGCAACTAGACATGACAGAAGAGAGAGCTACCTGGAAAGTGCATTCTGATCCTCCCTGTGTTTCCTGCATTTGTCAATGAGATTTAGTCAGCATAACAGCAAGAAAATTGAGGCCTACTCATGGCTACAAAGGTTGGGTATATGTTAGGATTAGCAGGTTTTGTTATATTTTTAACACGATAACGTTTGGTAATATTCAGAAATTGGTATTTTCCCACTTTCTAACTTCCTACCTCTCCATTAGTGGTTATACCAAACCTCCACTTACATACCTGTGATTGCATTCTACACAAGCTATACTCAGGGGGAGTGTGACTCACAGCAATTAGTGAAAATGTTTAGTTTGCAAACATCTAAATAGACTTTGTCAATTCATAGTGGAGATAACATTTTATCCCAAAAGTCTTTGATTTGCCTCAACTGCCTTTTGTGAGAGAAAAGGAGAGCTCTTAGAATTGCAAGTGGATTTTGAAAATAAAAGTATAAGCCATTTGGTGACAACTGCAGAGGAGAGTGCCCACAAATTTCAGCTGTACAATACTGATACTTCCAGCTGGGGTAAATCAGCCATCCAACCACAGCCAGGATGTTACTAGGCAGTCCAGAAACAGTTCCAGGGCATTTTCACATAACTTTTTTTTCATCTTTATACAGTATCTGAGCTAGTGCTTTAGTTAGGAGGCTCTAAAATTTGACATTATAATTTTCATTACTTCTGCTGTATGTACCTCCATCTAGTCCTTATGTCAATACAACCCCAGGACGCAGTCAAGTCAAATTCATGAGAGCCATATTTACCCTGTTCCAAATTCTGGTTTAAAGATTTGTATTTGCTTATCAAATTGAAGATATCAGTGCTATGAGAATAGATATTCATAAAACACCTCCCTCTCCTTCATAAATGTTAACATTGGGATACATTTCATAACATATTTCTCATTACCCCTTCTTTTTTGTTGTTGTCTTCTACAAGTTCTGGTGGTAGTTGAATTACAGTTATGACCAATACTATGAGTCTGAATCCAAGGCAAATTACTTTTAATGGATCTTGAAAACTTAGCATTAATCCAGAAACAACGATGTCGCTGTTATTTAGGGGCATACTTAGGATTAGCTTTATTGACCAGCAAATATTCAGTTAATTATTTCCATGGGATCAACAAATTTTTCCTTTTATTTTACTCTAAATAGTTAATTTTTGTGTAACCAGATTTCCTAGGATAACTGGTTAGTATAAATTCTCATAGTTTCAAATTTCTCCTATGGCTGTTAAGATTCCAGAATATAAGAAAGGCAATCATTCTTTGGGTTGAGAAAATTCCTAATTTGTGAGGGCAAGAATACAAAATAAGAGTAAAATTTGACTAAATTAGTTTTTAGTAAGTTGTTCTAGGTTCTAGTTTTTTGTTAAACTTTATAATTTTATCCCACAACTACTTCCAGGAGTTCATAAGTTATTTTATTTTATTTCTTTTTATTTTATTACTGATCTTTATTTTTCTATTTAGCATAAAAAGTGTTTTAGAAGAGCCCAGTATGAGCATTTCTAGAATTACAGAAAGATGAGGACTGTTGCTGCTCAAAGACCACTGAAACAGTGGATTACCCTCGGCTCCTGCACAAGAAAGATCAAGACGGAGGGGAAGTTTACAACTGTGAGTCCCCTGCTCCCTTAAGGCAGAAAGTCACCATTTCCACTTTCTGATGAAGATATTGTCTCATTATTATCTCATTATAACTAAGAGTGACCACCAAACAATTCATTCACCTATTGCATCTTACTTTATCTAATGTTTTTGATTGTTGTTCATTGGAAATAAAACACAGTAGTTAAAACACAATTTTGGTTGATTTCAGAAACTAGTGTAAGGGATTTAATTTGGTCGATTTTTTCTGAAGCTCTTAAAATTTCTGTATTTAAAGTTTATGTAAGTATTTTATAGATTCTTGAAATTATTTAAACCGGAAGAAAAAACATTGAATTTGAGAATTCCAGGTTCATAGTCTCCATTTTTCTGCAAGTAAACTATCTTATCTAAATTAAAAATACAAAAAAATTATTTACTTTGTCATTTCCGTATATTTATACAAATTATTTCAAAGACAGATGTACCCACAGTTTAAAATGCTATTGTCCTTGATTCTATCTCTAAACTCTTCTTGAGTTTTCCACTTTTCATTTGTCTGGCAAATCAAATTTTCTTACAAGGTGGAATAGACAAATCTCACATTAAAAAAACTGAAAATTATTAAACAAGCTCTGGCTTTTGAGAAAAACTTCTTTTCAAGATAGAGGACCCTGTCTTCAAGAGTAAGCCTAGAGCAGAGATGTTAGAGGCAGTTAAAAATTTTAAGGTGGGGAATGCTCAGGTAGACAATGGAATTATTGTCTCACTTTATCCAGTTAGTCCATGGGTGAGCTGGGCTCAGCAGAAAGTTTAGCATTTACAGATAAAAAGCCTTCATCGCCAACACATGATTCTCAAACTCATTTTTATGGTTGGGTTGAGTATCTCTGTAGGATTTTTTAGTATTTACTTCAAGTAAAAGGAAAGAAAAGAATTTAAACATTTGGATACAAATTCATATTAGGTAGATCAAAAATGGGATCTTGACAACCCAGAGAAGTCAGACATGTAAACATACTAACGTCTCCCAGTGTTTAGAGAGAATATATAAATTCGGAGGATAAACACATCCACAAAGCCTGCTCTGAACCTGTAAAACAGAATGGTTAGCCATGAATTTTACTTCTTCTGGGTGACAATTTATAGTTATTTAGAAGAGACAACCAGCTTTCATTACAAGTGTCTTGAAGCCAGGAATCCACTCTAGACAATCTGCATTTGGGGAATATCCCTCTGCTAGTTGAGATTTTTAAAACCATTTTATTGAGATAATTGACATACCAAAAAATTGTACATATTTAATGTACACAATTTCATGAGTTTGAAAATTAGTACACACCCATGAATCCATCACCACAATCAATGCCATAAGGAACCTCCATTTGGGTATGGGAAGGAACCACACATCTGGGTATGTATTCTAGTGCAAAGCATTATAGGTTTGGACAGTTTGGGTTGATAAAGTCAACAGAACAAACATTATAGGATGTGCAACAGTGTTATATAAATGAATCAAAGCTCTGTTTACTGCCCTCAAAGTTGTGTATTGCTAAACTGCAGGTTTATTTTTAAACTACTATCATCAAGTTCAAATTTTACACAACTAATTATTTCAAAAATAGCCCTCAAATTTTATTATTATTATTATTTTGCCATTTAGACACTGCTTGCTTTGCATATGCCAGGAAACCTCACCTGCTGCCAATAAATAAAGTAAGATTCAGGCAATAAAACCCCCAAACTGCAACTGTCCTCTTGAGCTTTCTAACCCAGAGGCTCTCCATCATGCTGCTGTGTGACATCACCTAGACACATAAGCCCCTTTCTCCAGTGTCCCTTTCCTCAGGTGTTTTCTTGTTTCCCTTCCTTTCTGAATAGCAACCTGGCACCTTCACATCTGCAAAGACTCCTGCTGTGAAGGACTTGTCCCTGTGAGCCCCTCAAAGTTTCACCCAATAAATGTGTGTGCTACTGCTACTCTGTGGTCACCTCTTTTTCCTTGATAAGCCCCCAAATCCCCTACAAATAGGGTCAAACTCCACCCTACGAACACTGAATCCAGCTTAATGGACACAAGCAATTCCACTTCCAAGACTCCTCTTTCCCAAGTCATATATATATATATATATATATATATATATAGAGAGAGAGAGAGAGAGAGAGAGAGAGAGAGAGAGAATATATATAAGGTATATATATTACATGTATATATACATGTATACATGTAATATATATATTATTACACACACACATACATATTATATATGTATATATATTACATGTGCTTTTACACTTATGGACCCCCAAACAGGATTTGGCAAGAAAGTTGAACTACAAGAAAACTGACCTATATAAGTCTGTCCTCATGCAGTTGAATGTGACCAAGATTGGAGACACACAGTGGCCTGCTTCCCACCTAGATCTAAACATAGGCTGTTCTTACAAACTTTATCAATTCTTATCTTTGTCCAGTGTGGAGTGATCCACTCTAGCTGCTGTTGTCAACATTTTGGCACGGTATGTTAACATACAGAAAGGGGAGGTTCCCATTTAGAATTAAGAATATTATACTCCCAGATAGTATAAGAAAATTTCAAAGCCTTTTTCTGATGAAAGAAGAATTCTTACAAAAGTTTACATGGTCTGGATACTTAAGGGCAACAGATTTTGAGACAAAATAACCAATTACAAGGCAGACTTTTTAAAGGTTTATCATTAACTTTTACTGGCAATAGCAATACTCTGAAATTCAAAAAAGATTATTTTGTAAGAATAATATTTTTAATAATTGATTTATAATAAAAGAAAATATGACAAATCTTTCACTGTTACTCATTCTCCCACAATTCAAGTTGCTGTATTAGATAGTGGAAATAACTAATTATTTTTTAAGAAGTTATGTTTTTCTTGTTTTTTTGTTTTTTAATTTTTTTAGTATTTATTGATCATTCTTGGGTGTTTCTCAGAGAGGGGGATTTGGCAGGGTCATAGGACAATAGTGGAGGGAAGGTCAGCAGATAAACATGTGAACAAAGGTCTCTGGTTTTCCTAGGCAGAGGACCCTGCGGCCTTCCACAGTGTTTGTGTCCCTGGGTATTTGAGATTAGGGAGTGGTGATGACTCTTAACGAGCATGCTGCCTTCAAGCATCTGTTTAACAAAGCACATCTTGCACCGCCCTTAATCATTTTAACCCTGAGTGGACACAGCACATGTTTCAGAGAGCACGGGGTTGGGGGTAAGGTTATAGATTAACAGCATCCCAAGGCAGAAGAATTTTTCCTAGTACAGAACAAAATGGAGTCTCTAATGTCTACCTCCTTCCACACAGACACAGTAACAAACCGATCTCTCCCTCTTCTCCCCACATTTCCCCCCTTTCTATTCGACAAAACCGCCATCGTCATCATGGCCGGTTCTCAATGAGCTGTTCGGTAGGCCTCCCAGACGGGGTGGCAGCCGGGCAGAGGGGCTCCTCACTTCCCAGATGGGGCGGCCGGGCGGAGGCGCCCCCCACCTCCCAGACTGGGTGGCTGCCGGGCGGGGGCTGCCCCCCACCTCCCGGACGGGGCGGCTGGCCGGGCAGGGGAGGAAGTTATGTTTTTAAAGAGCTCATTTTTAGAGTAGTTTTGGGTTCACAGCAAAATTGAGAAGAAAGTGCAGATTCTCGTATCTTTCTCTGACACAGGCAAAGCTTCCCCAGTTATCAACATCCCCCACCATAGTGAACCTACATTGACACAACATTATCACCCAGAGTTTAGATTAGGGCTTCTTAGTTTACATTAGGGTTCACTTATGATGTCATACATGTTATAGGTTTTGAAAAATGTATAATAGGAAATATCCATCTTTGTAGTATCAGACATAACAGTTTCACTGCCCTAAAAATTCTCTGTTCACCTCCCCCATTCATCCCCCACCCTCCCAAATCCCTAACTACCACTGATCCTTTCACTGTCTCTATGATTTTGTCTTTTACAGAACATCATATAGTTGAAATAATATAATATGCAGTCTTCTCAGATTGACTTTTTCACTTAGTAATATGCATTTAAATTTCCTCCATGTTCTTTCGTGGTTTGATAGCTTGTTTATTTAGGCTATAAATAATATCCCATTCTCTGGATACTCAATTGTGTTGGATGCACAAGAATTAACATTGGATTAAATCAATTAATTTTTGACTACTGAATCAGCCTTTCATACCTAGCATAAATCCAACTTGGCATACTATACTGTATAGTGTTTTTTTATACATTGTCATAGTCGATTTGCTAATACTTTTTGGAGGATTTTTGCATCTATGTTCATGAGAAATATTTGTAGTTCTATTTTCTTGTAATGTCTTTGCCTGGTTCTGTTAGTAGACTAGTATTTCCCTCACAGAATGACTTAGGAGGTATGCCCTTTGCTTCTATCTTGTGAAATAGATGGAGAATTTGAAGAATTTCTTCCTCATATATTTGGTAGAATTCACCATTGAATCCATCTGAATCTGGTGCTTTATTTTTAAAAAGGTTGTTAGTTATTTATTCAGTTTATTAAATATATAAAATATATATAGGGCAGTTTATACTGTCTATTTCTTTTAGTTAGTTTTGGTAGATTGCTTCTTTCAAGGACTTCATCCATTTCATCAAAGTTATCAAGTTTGGATCATAGCATTGTTTATAATAGTCGTACAGTATCCTTTTAAGCTTCATAGGATCTGTAGTGATGTCCCCTCTTTCAGTTCTGCTGTTAGCAATGTGTGTGCTTTCTGTGTTTCCTTAGCTTGGCTTGAGGCTTATCAATGTTATTTGTATTTTTATAGTATTAGCTTTTAATGTTTTTTTTTCTGTTGACTTCCTGCTTTCAATTTTTTTGATATCTGCTCTAATATTTATTTCCTTTCTTCTGCCTAATTTAGATTTAATTTTATCTTCTTTTTCTACTTTCATACAGTGAAAGCTTAGATTATTGATTTTAGATTTTTCTTCTTTCTAATTTATACATTTGATAATATAAATTTCCCTCTCAGCACCTCTTTCGCTGTATTCCACAAATATTGATGAGTCATGTTTTTATTTCCATTTAGTTCAAAATCTTCTTAAATTTCTCCTGAGATTTCTTCTTTAACTCTTTTGTTATTTGGAAGTGTGCTGTTTAATCTCCACATATTTGGGTATTGTCTACATTTTGGTATTGATTTGTATTTTAATACCATTGTGGTTTGAGAGAAGGCACTGAATGATTTCTATTTTTTTAAAATACGTTACTGTGTGTTTTATGACCTGGCATTAAGTTTATCACAGAGAATATTCCATGTGATCTTGAAAAAATATGTGTTTGGACAAAATAGTGTACACATGGCAATTATACATAGTTCATTGATAGTGTTGTTGAGTTTGACTGTTTTTATGGGTTTTCAGCCCGCTGGATCTACCCATTTCTGATAGTGAAGTGTTAAAGTCTTTAACTGTAATCGTGGACTCAGCTGTACCTTCTTGTAGTTCTATCAGTTTTTGCCACATTTATTTTGACAGTCTGCTGTTAAGCTCGCATATGTTAAGCACTGCTTTGTCTTCTTGAAGAATTGGCCCCTTTTTCATATGTAATGCTCTTTCTGTCCATGATAAATTTCCTTGCTTTGAGATCTTCTTTTCCAAAATTAATATAGCTACTTGTGCTTTCTTTTGATTAATATTAGCATGGTATATCTTTCTCCATTCATATACTTTTCAATCTATATGTGCTTTAATATTTTAATTAGGTTTCTTATAGACACCATATAGTTGAATCTTCCTTTTTGATACACTCTAATAACATATCTTTTAATTTGTACATTTAGACACTTGATGCTCCAACTAATTATCAATGCCTTGGATTAATGTCTACCACACTTTCACTGTTTTCGATTTATTGTTTGGTGTGTTTTTTTTCTATGTTTATCTTCTACTTGTTTCTGCTTTTTTATGGTTTTAATTTAGCATCTTATGCGCTTCTATTTTCTCTCCTTTATTAGCATATTAGATTTTTTAACCTCTTTTAGTGTTGCTCTGAAGTTTTCAATATACATTTACAACTAATCCAAGCCTACTTTCAAATACTCCTATACCATTTCATAGGTCATGTGAGTACCTGATAATAACAAAGTATTCCTAATTTTTTCCATTTGTTGCATTATTGTCATTCATTTCACTTATATGTAAGTATAAATAAGTATGCATATATGTGCATACGTGTGTATTTATATATGTAAATGTATACATCAGCATGCATAATAATCACATTACTATTATTTTGAAAAAAATTATATCAGTTAAGAAAAATATGTTCCTTAATTTTTCCCTCACTTATTTCTTCTTGATGCTCTTCTTTTATGTAAATTCAAATTTCTGACCTATACTATATTCCTTCTCTCAAAAGAACTTTTCTTTTTCTATTTATTACAAAGCATGTTTACTGGCAACAAATTTTTCTGAATTTTTGTTTGTCTGAGAAAGCCATCATTTATCATTTCCTTTTGAAGGATGATTTCATAGAAAACAGAATCCTAGGTTGGTGGTTTTCTTCTCTCAACACGACATACTTCACTCTACTCTCCTCTTGCTTGCATTGAAGTGAAGAATGCTTCCTGTTTCACAGAAGAAGTTGGATGCAATATTTATATTTGCTCCTCTACATGAAAGGTTTGTTTCTCTTATGTTCATGCTCTCTCTCTCTCTCTGTCTCCTTTTCAATACTTTTTCTTTGTTTTTGACTTCCTATAGTTTAAAAATTATATGCTCAAGTGTTTTTTGTTTTTGTTTGTTTGTTTGTTTTGCTTATTTGCTTATTTTGGCAGTTATACTGCTTGGTGTTTCCTGATCTTCTTGGATCTGTGGTTCGATATCTGACATTAATTTAGAAAAATTTTCACTCAATATGGTTTTGTTTACCACGCCTCCACCCCGTCCTCCTCCTTTTTCTTCATGTCCATTAACCCATTTACCTTTTGCCCAAGAATACTTGCTGGCAGCACTTGCAGCTACAGTGTTTACCTCAAAAAGAAGAAGGTGAGAATGTGGTCAACATTCCACAATGATACTGTGATTGAAGTAGACAACAGAAATGGAGAGAAAACTAAGAAGTCATATGCCACTGTGGACTATAGTGAGAAGATGGGAGCAGTGGACTCAGCTGATTTGATGCTCACTTCTTCAAAGGGCACAAGATTCGGTCTAAGAAATTCTTTCACCACCTTCTAAACATTACAGTGCTGAATGAACCTCTACACCCTGTTCAAGAAGGACAATCCTGAGCACACAATTAGCCATATAAACTTCAGACTGACGTTGATTGAAAAAATGCTCTTAAAGCATCACAGGCCAGGGCAGCAAAGTCTTCCAGGTCATCCTTGCTCTGATGATGTCATACCTCTTCACCTGTATGGAAGACCTTTCCCCAAGAGATATCACCAACATCAGGGGAGCGAAATCCAACTGGTCACTGCAAAGTTTGCTGCTTGTGCAAAGACGAGCCTAGCAAGACAATCTGAAGAGAAACGTGATATTTTTGTGTGGAATGTGATATTCCGCTTTATGTTGTTCTGTGCTTTGAAATTTACCACACAAAAAATTATTAAATACTGATTATCATATACATTTCTGTTATATTAGGATTAGAGACAAGTTCTGTTTAGAAATAATTCCAAGAACGGATTTTATATTTTATTTCACATTGAAAATCAGTCAGATTTGCTTCAGCCTCAAAGAGTGTGTTTATGTAAAATTATATGAATGCTGGCAGCAAACTGCACTTTTTTTTTTTTCTAAAGAGAAAAAGAGTTAAACAATGTAACACCTTTTGTATATGTCTCACAGTTCTTGGGCCTTTGGTTTTCAGTCTTTATTCTCTTTTCTCTTCAGTTTTGGAGATTTCTATTAATATACTCTCAAGATCAGACTTTGTTTTTCCAGCCATACCCAGTCCTTTCTGTTACAGTGTTCTGTTTAGTTTTGTTTTTTAATCTCTAGCATTTTCTTTTTTTTGCTTTTTCTTGGGATCTTCATCTTTCAGTTTACATTGCTCCTCTATTAAAAATTACAACATCCCTGCCATGTCTGGTTCCGAAGCTTGCTTGTTATCTTCAAACCATGTCTTTTTGCCTTTTATTATGCCTTATAATTTTTACTTGATAGCCAGATAAAATATATTGGGTGAAGGGAAGTGCTAGAAATAGGCCTTTAATAATATGGGGGTAAGGTGTAGGGGAAGAGAAACATTCTATACTTCTATGCTTAGGGTTCAGTGCTTTAGTGAGCTTATGTCTGTGGACTGTAAACATCACAAGTGTCTCTTTGCTTCTTTCTCCACCCATGTAGGTGGGACTGGATGCTAGTGCTGGATGGAGTTGAGTATTTCTCTTTCCCCAGTCAGTTAGATAATAATAAAACTGTATATAGCACATTAGGCTGGTTAAATAGTTTCTCCCTAGAGCAGAGCTTAAGAACAGAGTGCTCTGACTTCCTCCCTATATAATTGTGTCATGATTTTTGGTTTAATCAACTTACTGTTCTTCTATTAGTGAGAAAACTATAGTCACCCCAAGAAACGTGAATCATATTTAATATATGAAAAAAATTTACTATATTGTGTATGCTATAGTTCTGTGGTTATTATTGTAGGTTCTCAAACACTGGATTACGTGTTATAAAAACATTTTTGTATTTCTGCTTTTACACTTGATATTGTATAATAAACAGATCAATTGTATGAAATTAACCCTTTCTTTCAAAAATTGCATAATTTTTCTGTTTTTTTTTTTTCAAGGCAGAAGAATTTTTCTTAGTACAGAACAAAATGGAGTCTTCTATGTCTACTTCTTTCTACACAGACACAGTAACAATCTGATCTCTCTTTCTTTTCCCCACATTTCCCCCTTCTCTATTCGACAAAACTGCCATCATCATCATGGCCCGTTCTCAATGAGCTGTTGGGTACACCTCCCAGACGGGGTGGCGGCCGGGCAGAGGCGCCCCCCACCTCCCAGACGGGGCGGCTGGCCGGGCGGGGGCTGCCCCCCACCTCCCGGACGGGGCAGCTGCAGGGCGGAGACTCTCCTCACTTCCCAGACTGGGCGGCTACCGGGCGGAGGGGCTCCTCACTTAGACGGGGCGGCCGGTCAGAGACGCTCCTCACCTCCCAGACGGGGTGGCGGCGGGGCAGAGACACTCCTCAGTTCCCAGACGGGGTCACGGCCGGGCAGAGGAGCTCTTTACATCTCAGATGGGGCGGCGGGGCAGAGGCGCTCCCCACATCCCAGACAATGGGCGGCCGAGCAGAGACTCCTCACTTCCTAGACAGGATGACGGCCGGGAAGAGGCGCTCCTCACTTCCCAGACTGGGCGGCCAGGCAGAGGGGGCTCCTCACATCCCAGATGATGGGCGGCCAGGCAGAGACGCTCCTCACTTCCTAGACGTGGTGGCAGCCGGGCAGAGGCTGCAATCTCGGCACTTTGGGAGGCCAAGGCAGGCGGCTGGGAGGTGGAGGTTGTAGCCAGCCGAGATCATGCCACTGCACTCCAGCCTGGGCAACATTGAGCACTGAGTGAGCGAGACTCCGGCTGCAATCCTGGCACCTCAGGAGGCCGAGGCTGGCAGATCACTCGTGGTCAGGAGCTGGAGACCAGCCCGGCCAACACGGTGAAACCCCGTCTCCACCAAAAAATACGAAAACCAGTCAGGCGTGGCGGCGCGCGCCTGCAATCCCAGGCACTAGGCAGGCTGAGGCAGGAGAATCAGGCAGGGAGGTTGCAGTGAGCCGAGATGGCGGCAGTACAGTCCAGCCTCGGCTGGGCATCAGAGGGACACCGTACAGAGAGGGAGAGCGAGAGGCAGAGGCAGAGGCAGAGGCAGAGGCAGAGGCAGTGAGGCAGAGAGGCAGAGAGGCAGAGAGGCAGAGAGGCAGAGGCAGAGAGGCAGAGGCAGAGAGGCAGAGGGGCAGAGGGGCAGAGGGGCAGAGGCAGAGGCAGCCATAATTTTTCATAATATGAAAATAGCACAATATATTTAGCCATCTCTTACTGATAGGCATTCAGATGTTTCCTTAGACAACACGGAGTTATTAGTTCTATAGGCAATTTTCTTAGTAGTAAGTTTGGGCCAACAAGTGTACGTATTTTAAATTTCACTCCAATAGTGAGCAGAGATTACTTAGGAAACAGTAGAAATCCACATTGCAACCACCAAAGTATGGCTTTTCAATCCCTCTCCATTCCCACCAGCAGAGGGAGGCATAAGGCTTTAAGTTTTTTTGCCAATCATTTGATAGAAAAAGGGCAATTCATTTTTTTCAAGGTTTTCAAGTAATAAAGCTTAAGATTTTTTTTACTTTTTATTTTTTAACTATAACATAGTTATAGGTTCACAGGAAGTTGCAAAGAAATATACAGAAGTCTCATACATCTTGGCAACTTCCTCCAGTGTTGACATCTTTCAAACTATAGTACAATACCAAAGACAGGAAATTAACATTGGTGTCATCCATAGAACTTATTCAGTTTTCACAAGTTACGCACGCACACAATTTTTGTTTGTTTATGTGATTGTGTTTATGTGTGTGTAGCTCGATGTGAATGAATCATTTATGTGACCTTCTATAACCACCACTGTAATCAAGAAATTCAGCTAAATCATCACCACACGACTCCTGGTGTTACCCTTTTATAGCCGCACTCACCTTCTCTACCCCATCCTTAACCCTTGGCAAACACCACATAAAAGACATCATGCAATAAGTACCATTTCGAGATTGGCTTATTTCACTGGCGTAATACCCTTCAGGCTCATCAAAGTTGGGTATATCAATTGTTTATTGCTTTTTATTTCTGAATGTATTCTATAATACGGATTACCCCAGTTTATTTAACTGTTTACTTACTGAAAGACATTTGGGTAATTTCCTTGATTTAGCTACTATAAATAAAGCTTCTGTGAACATTTGTGTACAAGTTTCTGTATAATAATGTTTTATTTCTCTGAGATAATTGCTCAAGAGTTCATTTGCTAAATTACACAAGTCCACTTTCAATTTATTACATCCCTTTAATAGAGATTTTTTTTCAGATCAAAAACTTCAATTTAGATGAGGTCCAATTTATTAATTTTTCATTTTATGGATTATTTTTCTAATTTAAATTTGCTTTCTTCATCATTTTGTGAGATGTCTTTGATTTTTATAGTTTACTTTTATTTTTACATGTATTGATTTTCTTCAGTGTATAATTTTGTGTTTGACATTGATTTAAAACTTCTACTTAGAAACTTTATATTAGGCTTCTGTTGCTTTCTTTTTATATTTTTTTGTTTCTTTTAGAATTCCTTTTTCTTCTGGCTTATAAATAGTCTCTTTAAATACAAAGTCAGATATATATTCATATAAATTCTTTGTTATAGATTTATCTTTTAATATTTCTGTATTTAATAAATATGTAATTCACATATATGTTATGGTGGGGTGTTTTAACATATCTTCACTTAAACATATTGACATTCTGGTCATTATGTTATTACATTTTATTTCATATGCCATTTTATTAAATTCCATAATTAAAACACATCAATTATCCATGTATATTGGGTGCCTATTTTCTATCCTTTCTATAATTATCTGTAATTTTTTTTGCCTTTTTTTCTGAACTTTATCCCTTTACTAAGCTTACCTTATGTGTCTTTGACTCCATTTATTTCTTTGCCTTATTACATTTTTTCTATGTTAAAATTACTAGTTCTGCTTTACTTTTTTAATCCTGTACCTGTAACCAGACACATTTATTTTACCTATTATTTTCTTGCTATCTCATCCTTGAAAATAAATTTAAGTGTTTTTCTTTTTTTTTTTTTTTTTGGTGTGTCTTCTAAATTTACAATCATTTGCTGCAGAAAATACTTTTGTTTTACTAGAGTACATCATTTTCAGAAGAGTTATCTAATTTATTATTTACTTGCTATGTATTTTTGTCAGTCATATAGCCCTCTCCCATGGTATATTTGTAATTTTCAGTATTATTTCATTTCAAATTACTTATCCTTGATGGGGTTGCTTTACCCAAGTCTTTTATTTGCCAAAATATGGTATAGTTCAATATTTCTTGATTGCTCCAAACACATGTGGGTGCATTTTATTATTACCTTCCCTACCTCCACCCCAGATCTGAGTCTGAGGACTGTATCCTTGCAGGTTGTGTGTAGTAGTTATCACTTGGTTGCTGGAGAAAGAGTAGAAGACAGAGGATGGGACAGTGAACAACTTAAAGTGGTCAAGTTTGTCTCTATTTTCTAGAGCCTTCTTAATGATCGGTCATCTAGGTGGCCTAATAAAAAAATGCAAATTTCACCCCTTTTACTTCCCACCTCTACTTCTGTCCTCCTCCACCCAGAGTTGTAGGAGGGGGCAAAGCTCAGGGATTGTCCCAACCCTAATCATGGCACAAAAGTTCCAAGGGTTCAGGGGGAGTTTTTCAGGACTTTTCTCATGGCATATTGGCTCCTCTGAAATATTTTATCTTTCTTCTCAATCCACAAATTGATGCTTGCCCTGTTTTCCAGAGATATCTACTAGACATCTGAAAGGTTAAAGTTTGAAAACTTCTTAAATTTCTTGAAAATGTTCTTTGTTTTTTCAAGGAATACTCAAATTCCATTATTCCTGCTTTCTTCTAGGGGAATAGAGCTAGGTAAGCAGAATTTAATCATTTAGGAAAAACAAGAGGGTATAGTACTTTCCACTCAAACTCACCACACTAATCTAAGTTCCCGCTCTTCATCTCCTTTGCCCTAAGGTGTAGCTGTAATTCTCAGCTGTTCATTTTCAGCTGTTTATAAAAATGTAGATTTAAGGTGTAGAAAGACCATTATTTTAGTTCTACCTAGATCCTTTGGGAAGCCACTAGTTTATTTTAGTTGAAATCAAATAAAATAAAAATTTAAAAGCATAAAAACAATTCCCAGAGTGATAAAAGAAAACTTTTAGTTAACTAGAGCTAATATGCATGTTAACATCAATGAAAAATATAACTGAGTAATCAGGGACCCAAGCGCACAGTTGGAAGCAGTATAGTGGGACCTCTCTGGCCCTGAACTCCATCACAAGTAACAGAATAGAGTCCTGGAGTGGAGCTCATAGAGAAGTGATGGTTGGCATCATGTTCCCTGACTTTTCATGTTCCTTGTAGCCTTGTGTTGGTGTCTGCACATTTGAAGATGCAGTCCCTTCTTCCAGACATTTTAAGTTGGTTTTGTTGGGGGAAAACCTTCACCTATGGATGGGTGAGAGTGCCAGCTGACTGGTGTGGACACCATATCTTGCTGTAGGAGAAGATGGACTTCCTTAGCCCCAGCTTCCAGTGGCAAGGCAGATGGAACCAGTGGGAGTTGGGGGATGGTTATTCTCCACTCTGAATAGGATCCACTACAATGACTCTTCTGCCTCTGAGGGCCTCTGGTGGATACAGCATTGGTTTCAGGACTAAGCAGATGGAGAGACCCTGCCTTATCCACAATGAGGCAAGTTCCTTGATTAGTTTAGGTTACCAGTCTTCATCAAGGTTTCATGCTCACCCCCTTCATCCTTTCCAGATCATGATAACATTTATAGACTTGTTTTAAATACCACTTACTCAGTGGAACAAACTTCTCCTTCCCATATGAACCAGTTTCATAAAACCCACCCAACTTGCTTTCTCTTTCTGACAATGATAACTTAAAATGCATTATTATTGATAATGATATAAAATATGAATTTTGAAAAATCAAAAGTATTTCTGAAATAACTTATATCCAAATGGCAGGGCAGCCCCAGTACACTCCTCCACATGGCATCTCAAGTAGACTGGCAGGCAAAGATCCAATAGAAAAGGTCACCAAATCCCTTGGGACATGCTTGAGCTACCCTAGGAAATGTTTTGTTAGCCCCAACTCCCACTGGGTGAAATAAGAGCAGGTGTCCCCTTTGAGCATCAACTCAAACTTTTCTGAGCTGATTTGCATGTTGGGCCATTAGACAACGGTCCAAGCTTCTCAGAGCATCCTTAAAGACAGCTTGTCAGGGCCCCTGAGGAGCAGCCTCTAGTTCAGCTCTCAGAGATAGGGTCCGGGGCTCCTTTGCTGTGGATCCTCCTGCTCTGGGCTCCAAGTGAGGGGGTATAGGGAAACATCGGGCAAACTCATGTGGCCATCATTGTTTTTTGTGTCTCTGGATTCTTGGTTGTTGGATTTAGGGCACTCATTGTAGGTTGTAAGTTCCCCAGTTATCTTTTGTTTTCTGGTTACTCAAGATGTTGCATATGACTGTGGTTACAAGTGTCACCAATGCATGGCCTACATGGGGACAGTCTCAGTATATCTGATATAATTTATCTGTCTTTATCATTTCAGGCTGCAATGGGGACATTGTGCTGACCCAGTCTCCAGCCTCCTTGGCCGTGTCTCCAGGACAGAGGGCCACCATCACCTGCAGAGCCAGTGAGAGTGTCAGTTTCTTGGGAATAAACTTAATTCACTGGTATCAGCAGAAACCAGGACAACCTCCTAAACTCCTGATTTACCAAGCATCCAATAAAGACACTGGGGTCCCAGCCAGGTTCAGCGGCAGTGGGTCTGGGACCGATTTCACCCTCACAATTAATCCTGTGGAAGCTAATGATACTGCAAATTATTACTGTCTGCAGAGTAAGAATTTTCCTCCCACAGTGCTTTAGGTCTAAACAAAAACCTCCCCAGGCAGCTGCTCCCTGAGGCTCAAATCCCTCAGATGTGGCTTTTTATGCAGGTCCATCAGCCTGCTGTCATAGGCTTGTTTGAACAAAGGGGTCAAATTATCAAAGAGAAAATCCTTAAATTGATGTGTGTGTGTGTGTGTGCATGCATGTGTGTCACAGCCAGTTTTATAATTTAATAATTTCTTTACTGTATCAGGACCTCTCAGAAGTTTTCTACTTCTCAATGTATATTTTTTATGTCAAAGACCCTTACCAATAGAAGAATTTTAAACATTAAGAAAACTTTGTAGTCATTTTAAAAAATGCTCTGAATAGTCAAAATTATTAGCTCTATATCTTTCAGATATAGGTGACCTTCTCACCTGAATTTTGACTTTTCTCCACTTTTATTTGCTGAACCCACATGAAAAGGCTTTTCTAGTTATTTAGAAACCTAAGACTTGTGAGGTAGTTATCTCTGCTTATTTAATTTAGATGTCTCTATCTCGGTGACTTTCCCAAAAGTTAGATTCTCAGCTCTAGTTTTAATAAATTGTCCTTTACTCTTCATGCAGTGTTCATGTCCTTTTTCTTTTCTTTTTTTTTTTTTTTAAACAGAGTCTCACTCTGTCACCCAGGCTGGAGGGCAATGGCACAATCTTGGCTCACGGCAGTCTCCACCTCCCAGGTTGAAGTGATTCTCCTGCCTCAATGTCTCAAGTAGCTGGGATTACAGGTGCCTGCCACCACGCCCAGCTAATTTCTGTATTTTTAGTAGAGATGGGGTTTCACCATGTTGGCCAGCCTGGTCACGAACTCCTGACCTCATGATCCACCTGCCTTGGCCTCCCAAAGTGCTGGGATTACAGGTCATGTCCTTTTTCTATGATATTTTCCATGTCCATTGTTAAGGTTTTTTTTCTCATCTTCTCTTTTTGCTTTTCTAATTGCTCTAACACTACAGGCAGAGTGGACTCCAGAAATGCAGGTGTGCATAGTCACAATCATGGAAAGATTAGTGATTATGTGCCCCTCCATCCCTACCTTGGCCTCCGTCAGTCTTCTGCATCCTCCACAAAGCAAGCAGAGAAACTCTGGCAAAATAGGCTTTTGCAGCATTTCAGTCTAATAAGATTTACATTGGTTTCTAAATTTGTAACCCTTGTAACCCTATCTCACTACATATAAAATTTTATTATTAGTTGGCTGTTGGCCCATGCAAATTATCACACACTTAGTGGCTTAAAATAATACACGTTTATAATTCACATGCAGTTTCTATGAGTCGGGAGCCTGGGCAGAGTTTATCTGGGTCCTCTCTTCAAGGTCTCACAGGCTGCAGTCAAGGTGTTGACCAGGCTGCATTCTCATCCAGGGACTTAAAGAGTCTGCTTCCATGATCATTCAAGTTGTTGACAGAATTGTTTTCATAGTAACTCTAAGGCTGAGGGTCCTGGCTTTTTGCTGGCTGTTGGCTGGAGATCACCCTAAGCTCCTAGAGAACATCTTAAGTTTCCTGCCACATGGGCTACTAATAATCAAACCAGCTAGGATAATTTCTTGGTAACAAGGAGAGCTCAGTTCCTCTTTTAATGGCTTTGACCTGCTTAAGTCAGATCCACTCACAATAATCTCCCTTATGATTAACTCAAACCCAACTGATTTGGGACTACTGCATCTGCAAAATACTTTCACCTTTGCAATATTGTGTATGCTAGAAGGAAGTCAAAAATTCTGCCCAGACTCAAGAAGAGGGAATTACACAGTTAGGAACACCAGTGGTTCTGTATCATGGGGCCAACCTAGGGTTGTCCACTAAAACTGTCATATTGCCTAAGTGTTTTGTTTGTTTTTATTCTCTTTCTCTCAAATGGCCCCTGTCCTAAGGGGATTAAATAAGGAAGCTTCCTCTGGTAATAGGTTCTGACCAGCATCAGACAAACAGATTCCTCAAAATGGTGTTTTCATCCCAGCTTCTCATGTTTCTCCTGTTGCTTCCTGAGTGACGAAGTGGTGAAGGTTTCATCTATAGAGTGGAAGATTTGAAATAAATAAATAATTTTATAAATATTGGCCTGTAATTACCTGTATAGTAAAGAAAGAAAGAATATCTAAAAACCAATTGGGTAGTTTCTATTTTAAGAGACTAGAAAAAGAAGAACCAGCGAGATTCACAGCAAGCAGAAGGAAGAAAATAATTTTAAAAATAGAGTATAAATCAATGAAGTAAAAGACGAAAATCATTGAAAGCAAAAGTTGTGTTTCTGGAAAGATTGGCAAAATTAAAAATCTTTATGACTCTTGAAGAAAAAAAGAGAAGGCCAAGATTATTAAAATCAGGATTGAAATAAGGGGTACAACTGCCTATCCTACAGAAACTTTAAAAATACTGTAAGAGAATATGATGAACAATAATAAGTCATTAAATTAGGCAATTTAGATGAGATAACCCAAAACTAATTCAAAAACAAATAGAAAATATGAATAGAACCATAACAAGTGAAGAAATTAAAAAGTTTCCAATAAAGAAAAACTGAGACTACATGGCGTCACTGGTGAGTTCTATCAAGAATTTAAAGAATAAATATTACCAATCTTCATTAAATTCTTTCAGTATACATAGGAGAAAAGAATACTTCCCAACTCATTCTATGAAGCCAGTGTTACCCCAATACCAAAGCCAAGCAAAGACATTCCAAGGAAAGAAAACCATAGACCAATATCCCCTACTAATGCATGTGAAAAAATTATCAAAAGATATAACTAAATAGAATCCAGTAGCATATAGAAATGATTATGCACCATAATACAAATGGGATTTATTAAACAATGCAAGATAGATTAACATCTGAAAATCAATAAAGTAATATGCCACATAGAGTAAATATAAAAAATGTAATCATCTCAATAAACGGAGAAAGATATTTGATAAAATTCAAAACTCTTTTATGACAAAAGCTCTCAACAAACTTGTAATAGAAGGAAACTTCCTTTACCTTATAAAGGATATATATGAAAAACTTACAGTTAACATCTACTTAAAGTTGACAGAATGCCTTCTTTCTAATGTCATAAACAAGACAAGGATATTCACTCTTGCTACTCAATTCAACACTGCACTGGATGTTCTTGTCAAGCAATCAAGCAAGAAAAAAATGAAAAATAAAGTATATCAATATTTAAAAGAAGAGTAAAAGTATTTTAATTACAGAAAATATAATCCTGTATGTATATTAAATGATAAGGAATACATGTCCCCCACCACTACACATACAATCTACTAGTAATAAACAACTTTGGCAAAGTCACACAATAAGATATGCAATATGCAGAAATAAATTTTATCTCCATGTACAGTTACATTTTGTTATGTTTCAACAGATATCTGTAAAGTCACAAACGCTGAATTAACAAATATTGAACCATTGGTCCTAGTGGTAGTACTGGTTTATGTTCCTATGAGCCTATGGTCACATTTTCATTAACTGATCAATAGGTAACTTTTTGTATGAGTATCTTAAACAGATTATATATATCTCATAAAGTCTTAAATATAGGCATATACATATAGGCATACCTGTAGATTTGGTTCCAGACCACTGCAATAAAGCAAATATCACAATAAAGTGAATCACACAAACTTTTGGGTTTCTGCATATATATAAAAGTTATGTTTATACTATACTGTAGTCTATTAAGTGTGCAATAGCATTACGTTTTAAAAACAATGTACATCATTTAAAATACTTCATTACTAAAAAATGGTAATAATCATCTGAGCCTTCAGTGAGTAATCTTTTTGCTGGTTGAGAATTTTATCTCAATGCTGTTGGCTACTGGCTGATTAGGGTGGTGGTTGTTGATAGTTGGGGAGATTGTGGCAATTTCTTAAAATAAGACAGCAATAAAGTTTTCCGCATTGATTGAATCTTCCTTTAATTAAAGGTTTCTCTGTAGCATGACATACTTTTTGATAGCACTTTACCCATAGTAGTACTTCCTTCAAAATTGGAGTCAATCCTCGAGCCCTACTGCTGCTTTATCAACTAAATTTTTTTATACTATTATAAATCCTTTGTTGTCATTGTAACCTTGCTCACAGCATCTTCACAGCAGTAGATTCCATCTCAAGAAACTATTTTATTTGCTCATCCGTATGAAGTAACTCCTCATCCATTAATGTTTTACTGTCATATTGCAGCAATTCAGTTACATCTTCAAGCTCCGCTTCTTTTCTTTTTCTTTATTTCTTCTTAAAAATGGGACACATGTGCAGAACATGCAGGTTTGTTACATAGTTATACTTCTAATTCTAGTTCTCTTTTAATTTTACACATCTTCATTTACTTACTCCACTGAAGTCTTGAACCCCTCGAAATCATCCATGAGGGTTGGAATCAACTTTTTTCAAACTTCTGTTAATACTGATCTTTTGGCCAGCTCCCATGAATCACAAATTTTCTTAATGGCATCTAAAATAGTGACTCCTTTCCAGAAGGTTTTTAATTTACTTCGCCCAGATCTATCAGAGGAATCACTATCTACAGCAGTTCTAGCCTTATGAAATGTATTTTTTAAGCAATAAAGCTTGGAAGTCAAAATTACTCTTTGATGCATGAGCTGAAGAATTAATGTTGTGTTAGCAGGCATGAAAACAACATTCATCTCCTTGTGTATCTCCTTCAGAGCCCTTCAGTGACTAGGTGCATTGTAAATCAATGAGCAGTAATATTTGAAAGAAATCTTTTTTTACTGAGCAGTAGGTCTCAACAAATATTTGGTAAACCATGCTCTAAACGGATGTGCTGTCATCTAGGTTTTGTGGTTCCATGTATACAGCACAGGAAAAATAGACTTAGTATAATTCTTAAGGGCCCTAGGATTTTCAGAATGGTAAATGAGCATTGGCTTCGACTTAACATAGGTCATCAGCTGCATTATCTTAATAACAGAGTCTGCCTGTCCTTGGAAACTTTTAAGCCAGGAACCTCTCTAGCTATGAAAGTCTTAGATGGCATCATCTTCCAACATAAGACTGTTTCATCTACATTGAAAATCTGTTGTTAAGTGTAGCCACTTTCATTAATACTTCTAGCTAGATCTTCTAGATAACTTGCTGCAGGTTCTCCATCAGCACTTTGCTGCTTCACCTTCCACTTGTATGTCATGGAGATGGCTTTTTTTCTTTAAACATCATGAACCAACTTCTGCTGCTTCAAAGTTTTCTTCCGCAGCTTCCTCATCTCTTTCAGCCTTCATAAATTCTATGAGTTTGGGCCTTCCTCTGGATTAGGCTTTGGATTAAGGGAATGTTGTGGCTGGTTTGAGCTTCTATCCAGATCACTAAAACTGTCTCCATATCAGCAATAAGGCTATGTTGCTTTTTAGACATTTGTGATGTGTTCACTGGAGTAGCACTGTTAACTTTCTTCAAGAACTTTTTCTTCGCATTCACAACTTGGCTAACTGGGGCGAGAGGTCTAGCTTTTGGTCTATCTAAGCTTTTGACATGCTTTGCTCACTAAGCCTAATCATTCCTAGCTTTTGATTGATAGTGAGAGACATGTGACTTTCTTTCACTTTAACACTTACAGATCATTATAAAGTTCTTAATTAGCCTAATCTTCATATTATCGTGTCTCAGGAAATAGGGAGGCCCGACAAGAGGAAAACAAGGAACGGCCAGTTACTGGAGCAGTCACCACACATACATTTATCGAGTAAGTGTGGTTTGTGTGTTTTGTGGTTCCCCAAAGCAATTATAATAGTAACATCAAAGATCACTAAATACAGATCACCCTAACAGATATAATAATGAAAAATTTAAAATATTGTGAAAATTAGCAAAACGTGATACAGAGACACAAAGTGAACATATTCTTTTGGGAAAATGGTGATGATAGACCTGCTTAACCCAAGGCTGTTACAAACCTTCAATTTGTAAAAAACAGTATCTTCAAAGAGCAACAAAGTGAAGTGCAATAAAACAAGGCATTTTCCTATACACACACACATACACACACACACATACACACACGATTTATTAACATTGAACTCATGGCCAAAAGCACTATGACTTGTGCCTGAACAAAGCTTATCTAACACACATATTTTCTTCGTAAGACACATGGCAGACTTGTGCTTAGGAACATTAAACAGCAATTCAGCATTATTATATTTGGGGAACATTTATAACCACAAAATTACCAACATAAAGAGCAAAATTGAGCAAAAGGACACTTGTTTACAGTATGAGAAGTGAAACAAGATGGAAGAGTGTGGCTTTGTTAAACCTCAGTTGGGAACATGAGTGTTCAGTGGCTCAATTTTTTTGCCACTCTGTGCATGTCCACAAATGAGAATAAAAGCACTCTATGTATTGACTTTGGGATTGTATTAAATTTTAGCAGGCAGGCAAATTCACAAATACAGAATACACAAATAAGATTGACTACTGTGGATCACTAACTTGAAAATAAAGCATAAAGACAATGAACAAACATTGATAAGAAGAAAATACTTCTGAATATATTTAACAAAAAAGTAAGAGATATGCTGAAAACTATAAAACATTACTGAGAGACATTAAAGAAGATCCAAATAAGTGAAGAGACATTTCATGTTCATGGACTGGAAGATTCAGTATTATTAAGATGATAATTCTCTCCAGTGTGATCTACAGATTCAACACAATTTGAGTCAAAATCCCAGTAGGCTATAGAATTTGGTGAACTGATTCTAAAATTTATATGAAAATTCAGAAGACTTCAAATAACCAAAACAATTTTTCAAGAAAATTGAAGTTGGAGGGCATAAAATTTCCAGTTTCAAAATGTACAGTTGACCCTCTAACAATGTGGGAGTTAAGGGCACAGACGCCGTGCACAATAGAAAATGTATGTATAATGTTTGAATCCCCAAAAATCTAACTACTGATAGCCTGTTGTAGACTGGAGGCCTTACCAATTGTATAAACAGCTGATTAGCTCATATTTTGACTGTTATATGTATTATATACTGTATTTTACAATCAAGTAATGTAGAGAAAAGAAAATGTTTTTAAGAAAATTATAAAGAAGAGAACATATGTTTACTAGTCATTAAGTGAAAATGGATCATTATAAATGTCTTCATCCTTATCGTATTCACATTGAGTAGGCTGAGGAGGAGGGAGAGGAGAGATTGGTCTTGTTATTTCAGATGTGGCAGAAAATCCATGTATGAGTGAACCTGCACAGCTTATATCAGTGTTGTCCAAGGATCGCCTATACTATAAAGCAGAGAACAACTATAAACTACAGTTTCCAGGACAAGATGGTGCTGGCACAAAAATGAACTTATAGATCAGTAGGATGGAATTGAGAATCTAGAAATAAACCTTTACATTTTTGGTAAGTTATTTTTTAAAATAATGCCTAGGAAATTAAATGGGAGGAAGGATAGATTTTCAATTGGTATCTATAGGTGAAAAGACGAATTTAGGCCCTGATCTCTTGCCATGCACACTAGATCAAAATAGATCAGAGATCTTATTTTATTTTTTAACTTTTAAGTTCAAGGGTGCATATGCAGGATGTTCAGGTTTGTTACATAGGTATACATGTGTCATGGGGGTTTGATGTACAGATTATTTCATCACCCAGGTATTAAGCCTAGTATCCATTAGTTATCTTTCCTGATTCTCTCCCTTCTCCCACCCTCCACCCTCCTATAGGCCCAAGTGTGTGTTTTTCCCCCTTGTGTGTCCATGTGTTCTCATCATTAACTCTCATTTATAAGTGAGAACATGCAGTGTTTGTTTTTCTGTTCCTGTGTTAGTTTGCAGAAGATAATGGCCTCCAGCTCCATCCATGTCCCTGCAAAGGACATGATCTCGTCCATTTTTATGCTTGCATAGTATCCTATGGTGTGTATGTACCACATTTTCTTTATCCAGTCTATCATTGATGGGCATTTGGGTTGATTCAATGTCTTTGCTATTGCGAATGGTGCTGCAATGAAAGTACTCATACATGAGCCTTTAGAATAGAATGATTTACATTCCTTTGAGTATATACCCAGTAATGGGATTGCTGGGTCAAATTGTATTTCTGACTTTAAGTCTTTGAGGAACCACCACACTCTCTTCTACAATGGTTGAACTAATTCACACTCCCATCAATGGTGTATAAGCATTCCTTTTTCTCCACAACCTCATCAGCATCTGTTATTTTTTGTCTTTTTGATAACAGCCATTCTGACTAGTGTGCGATGGTATCTCATTGTGGTTTTCATTTGCATTTCTCTAATGATCAGTGATGTTGAGCTTTTTTTCATATGACTATT
Source organism: Homo sapiens (assembly GCF_000001405.40). Classification (NCBI taxonomy): domain Eukaryota; kingdom Metazoa; phylum Chordata; class Mammalia; order Primates; family Hominidae; genus Homo; species Homo sapiens. The sequence continues at coordinate 15,565 of NW_012132915.1, read as the reverse complement.
GACTGCTTGTATGTCTTCTTTTGAGAAGTGTCTGTTCACATCCTTTGCCCACTTTTTAATGGGGTTGATTGTTTTCTTGTAAATTTGTTTAAGTTCCTTATAGATGCTGCATATTAGACCTTTGTCAGATGCATAGCTTGAAAAATTTTTCTCTCATTCTGTAGGGATCTATTCATTCTGTTGATAGGTTCTTTTGGTGTGCAGAAGCTCTTTAGTTTAATTAGATCCCATTTGTCAATTTTTGCTTTGGTTGCAATTGCTTTTGGCATCTTCGTCATGAAATCTTTGCCTGTGCCTGTGTCCTGAATGGTATTGCCTAGGTTGTCTTTCAGGGTTTTTATAGTTTTGGGTTTTAAATTTAAATACTTTATCCATCTTGAGTTGATTTTTGTATCTGGCTTAAGGAAAGGCGTCCAGTTTCAATCTTCTGCACATGGCTAGCCAGTTATCCCAGCACCATTTATTGAATAGGAAGTCCTTTCCCCATTTTTTGTTTTTGTTAACTTTATTACAGATCAGATGGTTATAGGTGTGAGGACATATTTCTGGGCTCTCTATTCTATTCCATTGGTCTATGTGTCTGTTCTTGTACCAGTACCATGTGGTTTTGATAACTGTAGCCCTGTAGCATAATTTGAAATTGGGTAGTGTGATGCCTCCAGCTTTGTTCTTTTTGCTTACGATTGCCTTGGTTATTCAGGACTTTTTTGTTGTTGTTGTTCCGTATGAACTTTAAAATTGTTTTTTTCTAGTTTTATGAAGAATGTCAGTGGTACTTTAATGGGAATAGCATTGAATCTATAAATTGCTTTGGACAGTATAGCCACCATTTAATGTTACTGATTACTCCTATCAGTGAATATGGAATGTTTTTCCATTTGTCTGTGTTGTTTCTGATTTCTTTGAGTAGTGGTTTGTAGTTCTCCTTGTAGAGATCTTTCACTTCCCTTGTCAGCTGTATTTCTAGGTATTTTATTCTTTCTGTGCCAATTGTGAATGGGAGTTCGTGATTTGGCTCTCGGAATAACTGTTGTTGGTGTATAGGAATGCTGTATGAATGTATGAATGGTGTATAGGAATGTATGAATGGTGTATAGGAATGCTAGTGATTTTTGCACATTAATTTTGTATCCTGAGACTTTGCCGTAGTTGCTTATCCAGCTTAAAAAGCTTTGGGGCTGAAATGATGGGGTTTTCAAGATATAGGATCATGTCATCTGCAAACAGGGATAGTTTGACTTCCTTTCTTCCTATTTGAATGCACTTTATTTCTTTTTCTTGCCTGATTGCCCTGGCCAGAACTTCCAATACTCAGTTGAAAAGGAGTGGTGAGAGATGACATCCTTGTCTTGTGTCAGTTTTTAAGGGGAATGTTTCCAGCTTCTGCCCATTCCTAAAATCTGAAATTATAAAAACTTTAGGTTAAAACTTTTCCATTTCTGGGTTCACCAAATATTTCTTAGTTACAACATCAAAAGCTCAACTTATGAAAGAAAATGCTAATATATTAGGTTTCATTAATGTTCAAAACATTTGCATTTCAAAGGATACCATTAAGAAAATGAAAAGACAAACCACAGACCAGAGAAATTATTTATAAACCATTTATCTGATACACGCCATATTTCCAGAATATATAAGTCATAAGACAACCCAATTTAAAAATGAACAAAATATTTTAGTATAGATGTTATGGAAGAAGATATATGAACAGACAGTAATCACATGAAAAGGTGCTCAACATTATTAGTCATTAACAAAAATCAAATTAAATTCACAATAGGCACCATTCCATATACACTATAATGATTTTAATAATTTAAAAAACAGACAATAACAAAAGTTGGTGAGAATGTGACAGAAAAGAAGGCTTCATACACTGTTGGTGCAAGTGTTAAATGCTGCACACTCTTGAAAACAGTTTGGCAGTTTTTAAAAAATAAACAGAAATTTATCATATGGCTCAGCATTTCCACTTGTAGAGGTCTGTCTGAGAAAAATCAAAACCGGTGTCCACACAAAGACTTACAGGCAAATATTCATAGCAGCATTGTTGATCATCATATAACCAAAAAGTGCAAAGGACCTCAATGTTCCTCAACCTGTGAATAGATAAATAAAATGTGATATATCCGTACAGCGGAATACTATCCAAAAATAAAAAGGAATGGCCTACTGATACATGCTAAAACAGGGATGAACCTAAACTTCGTTTAATGGAAAGAAACCAGATAGAAACGACCATGCATGCATTATTCCATTTATATAGAATGTTCATATCAAGCAATCAATAGAGGGAAAGTCGATTAATACATGCCTGAGACTGGGAGTGGAAATAAAAATAGCTGCCGGTCTGCATAAGGGATCCTTCAGGGGATGATTAAAATGTTGTAAGATTAAACTGTGGTTATCTGCAACTTTGCAAATTTACCATAAGTCAGTGATTTGCACACTTAAAATAGGTGCTTTTCATGGTTTGACACTGTACTTTAATAAAGCAATTTTAAAATTGCACTGATTTTGTGACTGATCTACCTTGGACTTTCACCTGGGTAGAAGACACCTGAGGAGCTGAGCCTGGAACTGCACTTCCCCTACAGATATGGTGGATGCAAAGGAGTGTTGATTATGGGGAATCTGCACACTGATAAGGGCTTCTGGCAGCTGGACTTTCTTTGCACATTTGGGGAGGGCGTGGGTCAGTGGATAGGCAATGTTATCACACAGAGCTCTGGAATCCTCCACTGTGGGGACTCTTTCAGAATCACTTCCTCAAGGCATGATCTCTCAGCTCCCTCTTGGGGTCTGAATATGCAATGACACTATGGCGTTCCATCTCACTTCCCACCAAAAGTTCTCAGTGCAGGTAAAATGTGATTAGATGAAGTTTGATGTAGTCAGAAGGTCTCCTATAAATGCTAAACAGAGAGGAGTTCTGAAAGTTGTAATGTGCATTACAAGTCCAAGGATTTAACCAACATGCATTTACATGATCATGCCTGGACTCAAGAAATATCTCATTACTTGATATGATTTAGGTCAATTGTTTAAAAAATATTTTTCTGAGTAGCACCCTATTTCTCTGATGGTGAAAATATTAATAATAATGTAGGGACTTCCATCTTTCTATGAATGAACACACATCTACAGGATCTTTTTTAATTCTGGTGATTATTATGCTGTTTTTAGATGTTTAAATAGCATTGTTTTATTTCTGTAATATCCTTATTTCAGGCATTGGTCAGAGTTTTTATTGTGTTTACCTGTCTCCTCTCATTCCATATTCCTGACATATATATATTCAATATAAATCAAATTGCCTTTTACATTTTTCATTTGTCACTATAACTTCATTCATCTCTGTGAACATTGCTGTATGTTACGCATACATTTTTCCCATTGTCATAACTGCTTTTTTTCTTCATTGTAACCCCACAAGATGTAAAATGATTCCATATTTGTAAAGATAGAAAAGACAAATTACTACTTTTCATAATTCTGCTTCTATGTTTTCAAATATTGGCTCATAAATTAACATTTTTGGGAATTTATGTTTAACATTTCTAAAGAGATTATCTCCAGATCAAGAGATGAAAAATATAACCTATTCTTTATCATCACATTTTGGATTGTGTAGAAAACCTATACTTTATTCAAACATTTCTACTGAAGGGCAATTAAATTATGTTCAGGTTTTGCTAATATAATCAATGGATTTGTTAATACAATTTTACCTATATCTTTACACATGCATACTTCTATTTCTATAAATTAGCTTCTCAGATGTGTTTTAGGTAATAGATATGTGTCATTTTAATTTTACTGTAAAAATTCAAGTTGTTGCAATTTATTAATCTTTTTTGTTGTGTAGTGTTACGTTGTATAAATAATGTCACACTTTACTATCTACTGATCAAACAAAAAAATCTTAATCAGAAAAAATTCTCTCATTTTGAAGAAACAAGAATAAGATTAATAGCTAACCTCTAAACATAAATGAGGAAAAGCAGAGACCATAAAATTTCCTTAAAATGATAAGAAAAAGTAGCCATATAGCTAGAGTTCCCTTCAAAGTTAAGCATCCTTCAAGAATTAAGGTAAACTCAACACCACGTAGGAGGTCAGTATCTCTAGGCATGGGAACTTTAGTCACAAATCCCCTAAGTTATTTTTACTTCTAATCTTTGAGAATCAGTGAGCAACAATGGGAGAATTCTTTCCCAAGAGAATCAATGGGGCAATTAAACATCCTTGAGGCAGCAAAGCAGATATTTTCGTGCTTCCTCATGGTCTTTATATCTCTTCAGTAGTCCATTCAAGAGGAATAGAATCCAAATTTGCAATGAGACTAAAATTTAAGACCCTGCTTTGAACAAACTCTTACATATATTCTCTGATTCTAGTGCTCTCACTAACTCTTTGTTTATTAATATATAACTTTTAGGAAAACTATTCTTCAGCATACCCAGATAAAAATATTTCATGACAAAAACATCGAAAGCAATTGAAACAAAAGCAAAAATTGACAAATGTGACTTAATTAAACTAAAGAGCTTCTGTACAGCAAAAGAAACTATCATCAGACTGAACAGACAACTACAGAATGGGAGAAAATGTTTGCACTCTATCCATCTGACAAAGGTCTAATATCCAGAATCTACCAGGAATTTAAACAAATTTACAAGAAAAAAACAAACAACTCCATTAAAAGTGGACAAATGACAGGAACAGACACTTCTCAAAATATATGTGGCCAAAAAATATATGAAGAAAAGCCCAACATCACTGATCATTAGATAAATGCAAATCAAAACCCCAGTGAGATACCATCTCATGATAGTCAGAATGGCAATTATTAAAAAGTCAAGAAACAGCAGACACTGGTGACGCTGTGGAGAAATAGAAACACTTTTAAACTGTTGGAATATAAATTAGTTCCACCATTGTGGAAGACAGTGTGGCAATTCCTCAAAGACCTAGAACCAGAAATACCATTTGGCCCAGCAATCCAATTACTGGGTATATACCCAAAGGAATGTAAATCATCATATTACAAAGATACATGCTTATGTACATTCATTGCAGCACTATTCATAATAGCAAAGACATGGAATCCACCCAAATGCCCATCAATGATAGATTGGATAAAGAAAACGTGGTACATATACGATGGAATATTATACAGCCATAAAAAGTAATGAGATCATGTCCTTTGCATGGAAATGGATGGAGCTGGAAGCCATTGTCTTCAGCAAACTAACACAGGAACAGAAAACCAAACATCTCATGTCCTCACTTACAAGTGGGAGCTAAACAATGAGAATGCATGGACACAGGGAGGGACAACACACACTGGGGGATAGGGGAAGAGCATCATGATAAATAGCTTATGTACATAAGGCTTAATACCTAGGTGATGGGTTGATAGGTGCAGCAAACCACCGTGGCACACGTTTACCTATGTAGCAAACCTGCACATCCTGTACATCCATACATATATCCTGGAACTTAAAACAAAATAAATTTTTTTAAAAAACTTATCAAAAAATATTAGAACTAATAAATAAATTAAATATAGTTTCAGGAAAGAAAATAAAAAAGTTGCATTTCTACAATAACAATAAACAATCTGAAAAACAAATTAAGAAAATGATTCCATTTACAGACTTAAGTGAGTAAAAAGGTAAACCAGAGACAGAGACAAATGCGAAAAAATACTGGTTCTATCTATATCTATAATTGTATAAATATAGATACAGATGTTAGTTCAGGCTGCTATATCAGACTACCATAAACTGGGGGATGGACAGGGTTAAACAGCAGAAACTTTTTCAATTCTGGAAGCTGAGAAGTTCAAGATCAAGGTGCCAGCCAATCTGGTGTATAGTGAAGCCCGACTCCAGGTTTGTAGAGGACCTTCTCCTTGCATCCTCATGTGGCTAAGAGCAGAGAGCTAGCTAGCCCTCTGGTCTCTTCACTTCTTCTTATAAAGACATTAATTCCATTCATGAGGGCTTTACCCTAACAGCCTAATTACCTGCCAAGGCTCAATCTTGATCAACATATTGAGATTAAGATTTCAACATATGAATTTTGGCAGAGCACAAACATTCAGATTGATGGATAGATAGATGGATGGATGATAGGCAGATACACGCTGATATATATCACGCATATGTTATATATATATTTTCATACATATCTGTTCAACTAAATCAGAAAATGCATTAGTAAAATGGGCAGAATTTGACAGAAATTTTAACCCAGAGGATGGTCAAATGCCCTACAAGCATATATAATCCATATATAATCCCACAAACACAGATCGTAATTATGGAGTGATACTACTACACATGTAGAAGAAAGGCTTAAATTAAAAAGTTTTACAATACCAAGTATTGGTGGACATGTAGAACAATAGAAACCCTCATACATTGCTGGTGGAAAGGTGCATTTGTATACCCTGTTTGGAAATCAGAAGGATTATCTACTACAGTTTGATATACCAGCAACAAAGTATTTTACTCTATATTCCAGCAAGTGTGTTCAAAGATTGCTAACATGTTACATATCCTTTCTAAAGTTTGGGACATAAGACATATATAACTTTTATCATTTCTTCTGTATACATACACACACACACACACACACACACACACACAAATGTGAGTATGTTTGTGTGTTTATGGAGATAGACAATAGATAGATTGACAGATAGATCAATTGATAGATAGAGAGATAGATAGATGATGTTTTTATAATGCTGCTGTGGTAACAGTGTGAGAGACCCAGGGAATGTCCAACAAGCATACACAGTTACCCACATAAATAACCTTTTCTCTGCTAGCTGCTTCAATAGGTTCATCCTATCGTAAACCACTGGGGGTTGTGTACATGGTGCAAGGTAGTGACTCAGTAAGAAAATAGCACACAGGCAAGGGATAGAGCATCTATATAAAAAGAAATAATCCGGGTTTATATATTCCCAGAGGATGGAAATTTGCTTTCATGTCACTATGAGCCTAAGGTAGATGGGAACAGAGAGAAAGGGATTATAATGTAATATTTCCTGGACAGGATTTTCACTAAAACCTGGAGCTTCAATCTTAGAGAAGACTTGATAAGAATTTACAAAACTCAATAGTTTTATTTTTAGCTAAATACTTAATAGTGTTGTTCACATTCTGACCACTTTCTGTATTCACCATCTTTGAGACTAAACATACTATTTATTATTCTTACTAATGTCTGCTCCAGACATTAAGGGGAGCGATTACATTACTCAAGAAAGAAGCTTAAGTGAGGACTAAAAGCTTACAAACACGAATGTTTCTGTTCCCTCTTATAGGGTAGTCACTAATATTGACATCACCTTAATATTCTGTTGACCATATTTATCAATGTATGTCCTTGGAAGCGGAAAAGAGATTAGAGTAGAAAAAAAGAGAGCTGTAAGAGAAAAAACGAGATTCCAGAATCAGATTCTTTGATGTCTGCTCTTATAGAAAGTGGGAGAAATCTCCGAAATTGAGCCTTCCAAAGAACTTAACATATGAAATCATGTTTTTGATTATCATTCATCTACCCTGCCCTCCAGGGTTCCAGCCCAGTTCAGTGACAGTAAAACTAAGACAGAAATTGCTCTTAACTACGAGCTCATCATTGTGCATATTATTACTGGTTGCAATGGCCTTTGTTGGTCTTCACCATGCAATAACCACAAAGCCCTCATTTCTATGATCCAATTATTTCCTTCCTTGGTAATATTATTTCAGCCACTCCTTATTTGATGGCTATTAAATACTAACCTGAGAAGTCAGTTAAGTTTGCAGAGTTAGGGATAATTGCAGATAAATCTTAATATTTCATTAGGAAACAATCCTACATGAGGTTTCTTCAGGTAGTGGCTGTAGTAGAACAATAGCAAGAAGGCTAGCATAATCCAGGAATAATGAGGTCAAAACATGAAGACTGCCTTGCTGGTGCTGTTTTCCCACAAGTTTCAGAGGGGTGATTCTAAATAGCAAATGCTCAATTAAACAGCATCACCTGAACATTAGAGAGTGAAGATAAAAAGATACATGTTTCCTCAAGTATTGTGATTTGCCAAATTTAATTTCCTCAACCGCTACACAGTTTTCAGGTTTTTGGAAAAATATGTGGGGTTTCAGGTAAGATTTGAGCAGTGGCATGAAGGGGATAACCCAAAACTTGTCCAGATATAACACATGCCAAAGACATACAGGGTATCTCTTTAAATTTGGAATTATAGAATTGAATTGTGTTAAAAGAACAAGTAACTTAAAAAAAAGAAATGAGACATCTTACTGATCCATATAATTAAGAAAAAAAATGGAAAATAAAAGAAAGATAAATACTTGAAATCTGAGGCAAACCTGACTAGTAAGAGTCTGCACCCAGGTTACATGTTGCTCTCATAACTATCACTCGCTTTTCCCCATCACTGGAGGGAGGACTGAAGAGGACTGGTGAGCACTCAGTGGGTTAGGGAAGAGTCACGATGACTGTGTGGATGAGGGTGAGAATGCTTATAGGGAGGGACAATTTCCTTTAATGCTACTATTTGGAATCTAAGCTAGATGCATTTTGGTTTTTGGTTTTGTTTTTCTTGGAGGTGGAAATGATGAGTGTGGCAAAAGACAGGGAGTTGGCCATGAGAATTTACCTCTGCTTGGAAGTGAAATTGTTGGCACAGCTGGACAACGTGAGAAAGGCTGTCCTGGTTTTTGCCATATCAAGTGTGTCAGGCACAGCATGGGGGCAGCAGAAACTACAGAAACAAAAAGAAAAAGGAAGTGAGTTGCATGGGCATGGAGAAGCCTTATAAACACCACAGGGCCACCCAGTTCCACATTCTGAACATTTTCAGCAGCAGCTGAGGCAATCCCACTGAGAGAACTTGGAGGTTTTTGTAACAGGGTGTATCACTGTGAGAGGGAAATTATCATGTTGTAGACAGAAGTAATATGCAGCATCCTCAGATTCTATGTTATTAATTGTGAGGGTAAAATCTGTTCCATACCCGCTGCCACTGAATCGAGGTGGGATTCCAGGAACGAGAGTAGTAGCTTCTTGAATAATGAAAATAGCAGCTTCTCCTGGTTTCTGTTGGTACCAGTTCATATCATCATCAATGTCTTGGCTGGCTTTGCAGGAGATGTTGACTTTGTCTCCTGGAGTCGCTGACATGAATGCTGGAGACTGCGTGAGTGTCGTTTCTGCCCTGGTATCTGATTATGGAGCAAAGTAAAAAACATAAATCAAATGCATCATATTTGCAGAGAATGAGGAAAATCAATTCCTTATGAAAATATATTATTTTTGTGGATATGCAGGGGACTTGGTGGCACAGAGGAGAGGAAGTGTTTCTCTTACCAGAGATCCAAAGGAGGAGGAAGCTGAGGAGGTGAACCTGGGACCCCATAACCTTGGCCCTGACCTGCAGGTGGTAGTCAGTTCCTAATCAGTTTGACAGCACAGATTTTATGGCCACAAACATATTATAGGGTTATATAAAGGACAAATATGCAAATTATATGGTACATGATGGTGACATAGGGAGTGTTTAAATGGCAGACTGTGTGAAACCTAACCCATGAGCTGTGCATAGTTTTATCTTCACAGCTGTGCACACTCAGAAGGTTAAAATTAACGTAACCTCCTGGGTGTGCATTTATCATCTTTCTTTTTCTTTGCATTTCTGCAACAAGACTCATTATTCTGCAGGCTTCAGTGTTACCTCTTCTGTGGTTCTGATGCTCAGTAACCCACCAGTGGTAGACGCCATGGCAATATTCCTGACATTGCCAACAATTGCCTTTCTTTTTTCCCTGCATCAGGCATCCTGTTCTGTTACTTGTGATGAAACCCAGTGTTAGAGAGGCTGCACTTTTACAATGCACACTTGGTTCCCTGATTACTGAGCCCTACTTTTCTTTTGCATTAATGCACTTGTTAGTTCTACTAAACTATAATTTCATAACATTTCGGTAGTTGTTTTCATGTATTAAAATTTTTATTTTATTTTGACTACAGTATATTAATTACTTTTCAGTGGAACCTGGTAGTCGTAAAATGATTTTCTTTCTATACCATAAATGCACATTTTTAAAAACTATAAGCAGTCTTTGAAAATGGAACTCTGAAAATTACAGGTATACCTTAGTGTAAAAGAGATAAAGAATGAGAAATTAGATTAGTGTAGTCAGTTTGAGTGGAAAGTGATGTTACTCTTCTGGGTTTTTTTTTTTAATAATAAAATTCTGTTTTTCCCATTTTATTCTTCTAGAAGGCAAAGGGAATCATGGAGGTGGAGGACTCTTCCTAATGAAACAAAAAGCATTCTAGAAAGTTTCCAAACTTCAGCATTGCTGGTATCTGATATGTATTACTGGAAAACAGAACCAACAACATAATTTGTGAGCCCCAGTGCAAAATAAAAATGCAGGGCTGCTTCTTAAAACAGGAAGAGAATTTTCTCAAAAATATTTTATTACTTTGAAAATATAATAGTAACATGAATAGCAAGATCAGCTTTCATATAATTCAAAATGTCTGCTTATGCATTCTATCATATCACTGGATCCTCCATTACAAGGAAAAAATAATTTTTAAATTGTTTTTCTCAATAATAATTGATAATTTGAATCTTCATATGAGAATAATGTTCTTTTCTATCAAATATAACAATATTTAAACTTAGTTTTTACTTCTAATACTGTGGAAAATTGCTTTGCATTATTACAGCAATTTTCAAACATGGAGATTCTAAACTCTTGGGAGAATTATAATAACTCCTTGATATGTTTTGTTACAATGTTTATGAGTATGCTTTTATTTTGTAATGATTTACTCACAGTGCTTACTGCCTAAGCATCAGTAGTTCCTGTTTTAATACTCAGGCTGGAGAGTTAAAATTAATTATACTTCAATTTAATTTCGATTTATTAAGCCACACAATTATATAACAGCAGTAATACATAGAATTTTGATTAATAGCTACTATTATCATAACATATTTGCACTACCCATGAAACATTTAATGTTAATTAAAAGTGCACTTAGAAATAAGCCAGACACAGAAAGACAAATATTTCATGTTCTCACTCATATGTAAGAGCTAAAGTAGTGGATCTTATGGAGCTAGAGAGTAGAATAGTTACCAGAAGCTGGGAAGGGGGGAATAAAGAGAGGTTGGTTGATGGGTACAGACATGCAGTTAGAGAAAAGGCATAAGTTTTTGATAGCATCATAGGGTGACAATAGCTATCAATAACATTGTACATTTAAAAGTAGCTAAAAGAGAAGATTTTGAATATTCTCAACACATAGAAATTATGAATGTTTGAAGTGATGGATGTCTTAAATATCTTGATTTGTTTATTACACATTTGATTTGTTTATCACACACACATATATCAAAATATCACAGGTACCCCATAAATATGAAAAATTATTATTTAATAATAAAATATTTTGGAAAAACAATTAAAAATTATTTTATTAAATCACTGGAACAGTAGAAAGACCACTAGTGGTGTATGAAGAGTGACTTTTACTTTTTAATCTAAATACTTCATTGTAGTTTCTTAATAACAAGAATGTATGCAAACATCACTTGTATAATCTACACATAGGAATATATATTAAAAGTTTTCTCTATGTAATGTGTTTATTTATAGCTTTCATTCTAATAAAAAAATTAGCATAAAAAAGTAAATAAAACCTGACTTGGATTAATTGTACATTTATTGCAATCCCTAGTACAACTACTTAAAAAGTAAAAAACAAAAACAAAAAAAAAGATCACCATCACTGATATGCTAAGAAAAGAAAGAAAATGGAATCATACAAAATGCTCAATTGAAATCACAAAAGACAGAAAAAAAGTGTGGAGACAAATGAGCAAAAAGAACCAGAGCACCAAATATGAAATAACAAACATTATTCATCAATCCAAATGTACTAATAATCACTTTAGACATCAGTGGATTGTTACACCAATTAAAAGAGATTGTCAGCCACATTATAAAAAACACCCAACTATATGTAGTCTACAAGAAATCCATTGTAAATATAAAGACATATAGATTAAAAGTAAAGGGATGGAGAAAGATATACCATGCTAACACTTATCAAAAGAAAACCAGAATAATTTCAGACAGACCAGACTTCAGAGCAAGGAAAAGTATCAAGGAATTAAAAAGAGGACATCATTATAGATTTTATGTATGCTAAAAAAAATAGTAAAAGAATACTATAGATAACTTTGTGCCCACTTACTTGATAACCTAGATGAAATAAACCAACTTTTTGAAAAATGCAATCTACAAAAGCTCACACTGAAGAAATAGTAAAATCAGAAAAGACCTGTATCTATTGAAGAAGTAGAATCAATAATTAATAAGCTTTCAAAACAGAAAACACCAGGCCTAGATGGATTTATGGGTGAATTCTATCTAATATTTAAGGAAGAAATTATACCACTTCTCTACAATATATTCCAGAAGAGAAAAGCAAGAGAGAATACTTCCTGTTTCTATGAGACTGGCATAATCAGAATGCCAAACCAAAAAAAAGAAATTACTAAAAAAATCTACAGACCAATATTGCTCATGAAAATAGATGCAATATTCCTCAATAAAATATTAGTAAATCGAACCCAACAATATCTAAAAAGAATTATATACTATAAGCAATTGGGATTTATTCCACATCTGCAAGGCTGGTTCAATATTAGTAAACCAATTAATGTAATCCATCATATTAACAGATTAAGAAGAAATACATAATCATATCAATAAACGCAGAAAAAGAATTTAAAGAAATCCCATACTCATTAATTATAAAGAAAAAACTCTCAGTAAACTAAGAATAGAAGAGAACTTCCTCTTGTAGATGCAAGTCATGAAGTCCATCTACAAAAATCTGCATGTAACACCATATTTAATGGTGAGAAATTAGAAGCTTTCCTGCTAAGATGTGGAAAGGATGTTCCCTCTTACTTCCTTTTCCACAGAGTACTACAAGTTCTGCCAATATAATAAGACAAATAATGGAAATTAAAGATACACAGATTGAGAGGAAAGAAATTTCATATGATTATATCATTACGTGCAGAAAAAGCATTTGTCAAAATCCAATACCTATTCATGATTTGTAAAAATTAGAAAAATTTAAAACACAATAGCTGTTCATAACAGAATTTATTCACAAAATTAAAAAATGAAAATGAGGCTGCCGCAAAACTAAGTTTTTGAGTGGCACATTTGTTAGCTAAGGAAGAGAAGCCACTTACCCATGGTAAGTTAATTAAATCATGTTTGATTGCAGCAGCTAAAAACTGTGTCCAGAGAATATAAACTTGCTTAGGACTATTGGCTTTCTGTACGTTTATGGATCATAGTTCAGGCAAAAGCACTGTGTTCAGGGAAGGTAAATTCATATCCAGAGTAGGCATCTATTTTAGTAGGAATGAAATGCTGTTTCTTACATGATGGAAGTGGTCTAATGTAATCAACCTGCCACCACGTAGCTGCTTGTCACCCAGGGGAATGGTGCCATATTAGAGAATTAGTGTAGGTCTCTGCATCTGACAGATTGGACACTCAGCTGTGGCCACAGCCAGATCAGCTGTAGGGAGTGAAAGTCCATTTTACTGAGGCCATGCATAAGCTCCATTCCTGCCACTGCGATCACTTTGTTCATGAGCCCATTGGGCGATGACTGGGCATTTTGCTGCCATTCTTATTACCGTTATATGACCAAGCTATTCAGTGCAGACACACAAAGATAACACCATGTTTCTTTGAAGGGTGTGTAACTCACACATACATCATTGTTCAAGGCCATGGGTCTCTTTAATTTCCAGTGAACCAAATGGGCTATACCTTATTATTATTTTGGAAACTTCCGTATTCCACCCTTTTGCTGCCATTTGATCTTATTTCCTACAGCTCATCAGCATGAAGCCTCTGACTACTGATCCTATAGATGATTATCTTTTAAAAATCACCATTTCTTCCTCCAACTCAAGAGGATAACCCTGGAATTAGAGTCTGGGTCAGGATAAACCTAAAACTCTGGATCAGGTGAGGCCTCTGAGGATCAGTTTTCTCTAAGGCAGGATGAAGACCAAGAATATCCCAAGGAAATCCCCAGGATATCACCTGGAGAATTACTGGGATTTGCATAGGGGATAGGGAGGAAGGGGAATTGGGGATAGAGTCAAAGCCAGTTGTGCTATCAGTGTAGCCAGGCCAGGGAACCCCCAAGCCCTCAAGTGGAGGCTGCAAATACAGCAAACTTGTGTCTACTACTCAGAGTCGAAAGCCTGTCTGTGCACAGCAGTCCTGGTACCATCTGTGTCAGTGATGGCTCAGGGGTCAGCTGTTACATATGTAAGTATTACTTGATGCATTTTAAAATCTTACAAAAGACAATTCTAAGGGTCAGACTGAGAGAAAGACTTAATTCAATGTCTCATTTGTATGAGTAAGATCTAATTTGCATCACTAAGATCTAATATGAAAAGTTATGTGAATTTGGTTGGTCCCTCTCGCTCTCAAAATATCTTCTTTTACAGTACTCATGTGTTTTAGACTGTGGTTGACTATAAGTAACTGAAGCCACAGAAAGGAGATTTGTGGATGAGGGGGGACTAACATACTTAGGAATACAACTATATACATATGACTTCATTTTTAAGACCATATTGTATTTAGGTATCTACTAATATATTATATAAAGCTATGTTTTATTCCATTCCCTGGCTTTTACTTTTATCATGTATGTACTCGGACACACAATAAAGCAGAAAATTGTTTCCCCCAACCACAGTTTTACTCAAAACTTAGAATCATCGGCAGTCCTTGGTTAAAAATGTGTTTTTCTAGAACCTTCTGCAGTTTTGATTAAATAGATTCCATGGAAACCACACACACAAAAAAAGAACTAAATGAGAGCTCAGATTTACCTCACCTACAGAGGTCTATTTCTTCTCTAGAATTTTAGGTCATCTAACCTTTGTGTCTTCTGTAGCTCTCCGATGTCATCATACACATGAATTTTTAGTTAAGTTTGTGTTTATTTCTGCATTTATAGCAACAGCTATGGTGGTCTTCTAAGTGGAAATTCTTTCATTTTTTTAATTAAATTATAATATGCTCATGTCCACTTCTGTATTATATTATAAGACATTAAGGTCTATGTCAATCAATAAATACATATGACATACACAAATGCTGAAAATTTATTAAAAACTAAAGAAATGATAGTGATCATGTCAGAGTTTATGATATTAGATAATAAACATGATTTCCATATACCAGTAATAAATGTCTAGAAATATGTGTTTTAAATATACCGCATTTAAAATTTTCTCTTTTTTTTCACAAGGGGTCTCACTATGTCACTCAAACTGGCCTCAAATCTGTGAGCTCAAGCCATTCTCCTGCTTCAGCCTCTCATTCCTAATACTGTTTGTGATTTAATAACAGGAAACATCACTTATGGTATTATGTTACACTGAAGTTAATGAAGGTTT